>NW_009646203.1:0-108875 GCF_000001405.40 Homo sapiens | reverse complement strand
GAATTCTTCAGTCTAAGACGGAGGTCCCATTTCTCTCTTTTTTTTTTTTTTTTTTTAGACAGAGTCTCACTGTTTTGCTCAGGCTGGAGTGCAGTGGCGTGATCTAGGCTCACTACAACCTCCACCCCTGGGTTCAAGCTGGAACTACAGGCATGTTCCACCATGCCCAGCTAATTTTCACATTTTTAGTAGAGACGGGGTTTCACTGTGTTGGCCAGGCTGGTCTCGAACTTGTGATCCTCCTGCCCCAGCCTCCCAAAGTGCTGGGATTACAGGCGTGAGCCACCACGCCTAGCCTGATCCCATTTCTTTCTACATCAGACAGTAGCCACTGTAGATACTGATACTGTCGACAGTCAACATTCCCTGATCTGGGATGTTCATCCTATGTAGTTCCTTTTTTTTTTTTTTTTGAGACAGAGTCTCCCTCTGTTGCCCAGGCTGGAGTGCAGTGGCATGTTCTCAGCTAACTACAACCACTGCCTTCCAGGTTCAAGCGATTCTCCTGACTCAGCCTCCCAAGTAGCTGGGACTACTACAGACGCACACCACCATGCCCAGCTAAAATATGTGTGTGTGTGTATATATATATATATATTTTTTTTTTTTTTCTTTTTTTGAGGGGGAGTCGCGCTCTGTCACCCAGGCTGGAGTGCAATGGCGCGGTCTCGGCTCAGTGCAACCTCCACCTCCCAGGTTCAAGCGATTCTCCTGTCTTAGCCTCCCAAGTAGCTGGGACTACAGGCGCATGCCACCACGTCGGCTAATTTTTTGTATTTTTAGTAGAAACGGGGTTTCACTGTGTTCCCTAGGCTGGTCTCGAACTCCTGAGCTCAGGCAATCCACCTGCCTCGGCCTCCCAAAGTGCTAGGATTACAGGCATGAGCCACTGTGCCCGGCCTAATTTTTATATTTTTAGTAGAGACGGGGTTTCACCATGTTGGTCGGGGTGCTATGGAGTTCTTTTGCACCCAGACATCTGGGGCCTCTATTGCCGAAGCAGGTGACAGCTTTCTGCCCTCAGACTCTGGTCTACTCCATGTGATCACTCCAATAAATTAACCCTGGGAGACCCTTTGCAAATTAGGCTAGGCTTGATATTAAACGTGGCCACCAAAATTCTGGGCCACAGGGAGCCCACAGAAAGGACTCTAAGGTCCCAGAACTACTAGGTTCAAACAATTCCTTAAGTTCATTGAATGTGCACAGCATATCCAAGTCAAACCGTTTCATTAAAAAATAAAACACTGAGCACTTCTATGTTGAAGCTATTGCTTTTGCATATTGTTGTCGTCTCAAAAATCCTATCAGGTGGACAAGACAGGCACCTTTGGGACCATGTTACAGAAGCAACGGGTGGCATCAAGGGATGAGGTGACTTGCCTAGGGTCACAGAGCTAATAACCGAAAGAGAGTTGGGGCCACAATTCAGATCTTCCTACTCCTAGTCCAGGGCTCTGGAATGACTGCAAGAGCAAAGATCCCAGCCCTCACCAACAGGCTGGACAGGGGGAGATTAGCAGCTCCCCATCTCTTTCTTATCTCGGCCTGGCAGTGGCCTCCACCAGCTCTGCAGTTTGTCTGTGCACAAGCCCAGGGCTCGGCAAGCAGGCTCGTAATGGAAAGGCCCACGGCGGCCTCCCACCCACGGTAGTAATTCAGTAGGTGTGTCACAGCTGGGGACTTGGAGCGTTGGCTGTGGCTGGGAGACCACTATAACACAAAAAGAAGGCGCACTTCTAAGACGTTTGTGTGCAGTTCGGAGGCTTGGCTGATACTCTCTCCTATGAATCAAAAGTGGAACGTGTCTTCCCAAAGGGGCCGTATCTGCATCCGCCTCAGCCCAGCCTCGAATGAAAGGACCCCGTCTGTGTAGACGAACGTTCTTGGTCTGGGTCACTAAATCTAGAGCCGTGCATCCCAGGCCTGATGGGAATCCCACCCAGATGCCCGCAGGGACCGGAGTTCCGTTCCAAACAATCCTTCCACTCTTAACCCAGTATCACCGCTCTCTGATTTCCCCATTCCTTCCGGAGGGCAACCGAGCTACTGGCCCTTTAAAAGCTACTCGGACCAAAAAAAAAAAAAAAAAAAAAAAAAAAAAGATAGCCGTTCTGACCAATAGACGACTGAGGATGGCAACCTGGGGCCAATCGCTGCACGGCTCGTCCAGAAGCCCAAAGTGTGCTGGTCACCGGCTCAGCACTCACCGCCGTTGCAGCCGCATTGCCGTTACCAGACATGGCTCCGCTTGGAAAGTAGGCTGTGTGTGGGTGCCGCTAAGGTCCCCCGGCCCCGGGAAGCCGGGGGCTCCGGCCGGCGAGTACCGGGGACACGTGGGACCCGAGGTCGTCCTACAGTCTGACTCCTGGTCTCCGCAGAGCCTCGCGTCACTTCCGGCGCCCTCCCTCGAAGGGGAGGTCCCTCCCTCTGGGCGGGAATTGGAACATTGCGACAGTGGACCTCCCCATTCGACCACCCCATTCCCCAGCTGTGACATGAGCAAGTAGTGCAGCTTCTATGGCGCTTCCTTTGCTCTGTTCAAACTTAGCTTTGCTACAACCTTGAAATAGGCAGCATTTTTCTTTTTGATACGGGGTCTCACTGTGTCCCCAGACTAGAGTGCAGCGGCATGACCACGGGTCACTGCAGCCTTGACCTCCCGGCTTCAGCGATCCCCCCACCTCAGCCTCCCAAGCAGCTGGGACTACAGGCGCACATCACCACGTGGGACTAATTTCTAGATTTTTTTATAGAGACAGCGGGGAGGTGGCCTCACTATGTTGCCCAGGCTAGTCTCGAACTCCTGGACTCAAGCAGTCATCTCGCCTTGGCCTCCCAAAGTGCTGGGATTACAGGCGTGAGCCACTGGCCCAGCCAGCATTTCAATTCTTAAAATGAGGAAACTGGTTCAGAGAGATTAAAGGTCATGCCTAAAGACAAGTAACTGAAGTGGGAGCACAAACGCTACATGTAGTGAGAAAAGGGCTTGTTAGGAAAAGTGCTTTCCCATGAACATAATTTTTTTTTTTTTTTTGAGACGGAGTTTCGCTCTTGTTGCCCAGGCTGGAATGCAATGGCACGATCTCAGCTCACTGCAACCTCCGCCTCCCGGGTTCAAGCAATTCTCCTGCCTCAGCCCCCCGAGTAGCTGGGATTACAGGCACGCACCACCACACCCAGCTAATTTTGTATTTTTGGTAGAGATGAGGTTTCTCCATGTTAGTCAGGCAGGTCTTGAACTCCTGACCTCAGGTGATTCGCCCACCTCGGCCTCCCAAAGTGCTGGGAGTACAGGCGTGAGCCACCGCGCCTGTAATCATGAACATAATTAACAATCATGATTATTAATAATCACCCAGCTAGGTGCAGTGGCTCACACCTATATTCCCAGCACTTTAGGAAGCCAAGGCAGGAGGATTGCTTGAGCCCAGGAGTTTGAGACCACCCTGGGCAACATGGTGAAAACCTCATCTCCACAAAAAATACAAAAATAGCCAGGTGTGGCGGCACACACCTGTAGTCCCAGCTATTCAGGAGGCTGAGGTGTGAGGATCGCTTGAGCCCAGGAGGTCGAGGTAGCTGTGAGCTGTGGTGGTGCCACTGCACTCTAGCCTGGATGACAGAGTGAGACGCCCATTTTTTTTTTTTTTTTTTTTTGAGATGGAGTTTCACTCTTGTTGCCCAGGCTGGAGTGCAATGGTGCAATCTCAGCTCACCGCAACCTCCACCTCCCGGGTTCAAGCAATTCTCCTGCCTCACCCTCCTGAGTAGCTAGGATTACAGGCACCTCCCACCACACCCAGCTGGTTTTTGTATTTTTAGTAGAGACGGAGTTTCACCATGTTGGTCAGGCTGGTCTTGAACTCCTGACCTCAGGTGATCCGCCCACCTCAGCCTCCCAGAGTGCTGGGAATACAAGCATGAGCCACCGCGCCCGGTGAGACCCTGTCTTAAGAAGAAAAAAAAAATCACCCATGTGCTCAGCACTGTACAAAGAACTGAACACCTATTTGATCCTTAGGCTTTCATAATAGCCACACAGCATAGGTGTTATAATCCCTAACGTACAGATGAAGACACAGGTTGAGGGGGAAAGGGTGGGAGCAGGGTGAGGGATAAGAGACTACACATTGGGTACAGTGTACACTGCTTGGGTGATGGGCACCAAATCTCAGAAATCACTACTAAAGAACTTATTCACATAGCCAAATACCAACTGTTCCCCAAAAACCCACTGAAAAAAATACATCTCAAAAAAAAAAAAAAAACATGTTGAGAAGGTAAGATGTGCCTTAAGTCAAACAGCACAACTAGGATTCAAACCCAGCTCAGTAGATGCAAAGTCTACTCATAGCATAGCAGCTACAATACTGCCACTGTTTTTTAATTTTTTACTTTTTGAGACAGGGTGTCTGTCACCCAGGCTGGAGTGCAGTGGTGTGATCAAGGCTCACTGCAGCCTCAACTTCCTGGGCTCAAGCAATCCTCCCACCTCAGCCTCCTGAGTAGCTGGGACCACAGGCAAGCGCCACCAGGCTGGGCTAGTTTATTTTTATTTCTTGCACAGACGGGGTCTCACTATGTTGCCTGGGTGGCTGGTCTTGAACTCCTGGACTCAAGCGATCCTCTCACCTCAGCCCCGCAAAGTGTTGGGATTACAGGCATGAACCACCGCGCCCAGCCCATGGCAATCCTAAATACTACCTAAACCACAGTGTCAAACTTACGTCCTCCAATTAAACAACGTAGAAGATGAAATTAGGTGAGGCTGTGGGGAAAACGACAACATAGGAGCAATTTTCAGACAGGCAGCACCACCCAAATTACACGGGGACACCTAGCAACATAAACTTTAGCTGACAATTTCAGAGAGGGAAAGGTGTTTCCAGAAAGGACCTTTTATCCCGTTTATCATCTGGTATTAAGTATAGCAAGACACCAACCTACCCATTATTTAAGGTAGGTTAAGCCCAAAGCTCCCTACCAGAATCTGCCTCCTGCTTGAATATTTTGCCCAAACTACAGCCATAGAGACCAGGAAGAGGAAAGAGTAAGAGCTGTTTTGGGGGTCTTGGTCCAGGCTGCTCCTGGAGCTCAGTCATTAGGTCTTTTGCAGAGGTTCTTCAGTAAATTGAACTGTATGCGATGCCACAGGCCCCACCCATTACCAGAACGAGACTGAGTCAACATGGTCTCCAAGAAAACCGTAGGAGGGAAGTGGAACGCCAGGAGAGCAGAGGGAAGGAAGTCCATCATGCAGTTAAGAATCACCAGGAAGTCCCCAGAAAAAAATCCTTAAGCTCCCAAATCATTATATTCTTTTATTTATAGACTCTGAGAGCAAGGACCCAAGCACAGCCTGGTGCTCTTGGATAGAGAAGAAAGCAGCTATTGTCCACACTCAGAGGTTGCTGAGGTGCCCTCCCCCACTGATCTGGAATGATCTACACTGCTAGTGAAGAGGAGGGATGGCAAGCTGACTAAATAAGAAGGCAGGGAAAGAAAGTCCGCTTTAGTTCTGAGGGCTGTGACATTAGATGAGAGTGGAGCCCTGGGCATGTCAGCCAGCCTTCTGTGTAACGCCCGCCCAGGTCCCATTGTGTCTGTTCTCTTGGTCCTCCACTGTTGCCCACATCTTCCTCCAGGCTGCTTAAGTGCCCCTCCTGGAGTGCATGAGTAGGTCGCGTTGCAGCCCAGCCTCCAGGCTGGAGGTCAGTCTGGCTGTGGGAGGGTCGGTCAGCAGAGTCAATTTGTTGAAAACACCTCTGCCAAAGTAGTCAGCAATCACAGAAAAGCTGTCATTGGAGCACTTGAGCTGCAGGAGAAGAGGAGGGAAGGAATACGAATCAGAATCAAAGTGCTTGTTTCTTAAATGAGGAGGTGATAAGGAAACAAGCCCTCCAGTGACTCTGTGACACTAGTGGGAATCCCCTGGCCCATCTAGCCCACTCATCCCCACCTGATGCTGGAATTGATCATGGAGATCTCGTTTCTGTTCCTGGGCCCGGATCATATCCATGACCTTCCGGTTTTCAGGGAGGCAGGTGGGGCAGTCAGCATCACTTTCCGAGTAACTCTCAAAGCAGTGTTGGTGGAAGGAGTGGCCACACAGGAAGTGGACTGAGGGCAACTCCAAGGCACTGTTACAGATGCTGCACTTGGTCTTTTGGAAAATCTTAGGACTACAGGGAAGAAAGACCAGAAGTGAGTGGCAAAAGTGAGGGCAAGGCCAGGAGTCAAGGATGAGAAAGAAGGCAGCTGAAGTGCACAGGGCAAGGTCCCTGGTAAGGCCCCTGAAGGCCCTGCCCTGCTCTTCTTATCGCCTTAAGGGAGTCAAATGAATACAACAGCCCTGGACCTGCAGTGAGTCTCAGCATGCTCCCAACAAGGCCAACTCAGCCTGGGGATTGTTTCCTCTGTCTCCATTTTCACAACTGCCACTAAATTAACTTTCAGGTCTGTACTCAGATGTGACCCTTTCACTGAGGCCTTTCCTGGGCCACCTTCTCTAAACTTGTTAACACACTTCTCCCACTCCCCTTGCTCAATTCATTTGCCACTCAGAACTTATCACCACCTAACATACTACAAAACTTTGTCTATTTGGCTGGGCACAGTGGCTCACACCTGTAATCCCAGCACTTTGGGAGGCCGAGGCAGGTGGATCACCTGACGTCAGGAGTTCTAGACCAGCCTGGCCAATATGGTGAAACCCAGTCTCTACTAAAAATATAAAGATTAGCCAGGCATGATGGCAGGCACCTGTAATCCCAGGTACTCAGGGGGCCAAGGCAGGAGAATCGCTTGAACCCAGGAGGCAGAGGTTGCAGTGAGCCGAGATTGCGCCATCACACTCCAGCGTGGGGGACAAGAGCGAGACTTCGTCTCAAAAAAGAAAAAAAAAATTTGCCTATTTGGCCGGGTGCAGTGGCTCACGCATGTAATCCCAGCACTTTGGGAGGCCAAGGCAGGCAGATCCCCTGAAGTCAGGAGTTCAAGACCAGCCTGGCCAACATAGTGAAACCCTGTCTCTACAAAAATACAAAAATTAGCCAGGCATGGTGGCAGGCGCCTGTAATTCCATCTACTCAGGAGGCTGAGGCAGGAGAATCGCTTGAACCCAGGAGGTAAAGGTTGCTGTGAGCTGAGATCGCGCCACTGCACTCTAGCCTGGGTGACAGAGTGAGACTCTATCTCAAAAGAAAAAAAAAAAGTTTGCCTATTTAACATGTTTGCTGTCTGTCTCTTCTACAACATAAAGCTCCATGAAGGCTTTTTGCCTGTGCTGTTCAGAATAGTGTCTGGGACACCACAGAGGCTCAATATTTGTAGAATGAAGAAACTGTTGTTCTCTAATAAATATTTTACAGAATGTTAAGGGCAGGTAAGATTTCAGAGTTGGGATTATGGCCGGGCACCGTGGCTCATCCCAGCACTTTGGGAGGTCAAGGCCGGAGGATCACTTGAGGCCAGGAGTTCGAGACCAGCCTGGCCAACATTATAAACCCCATCTCTACTAAAAATCCAAAAATTAGCTGGGCTTGGTGGCACACGCCTGTAATCCCAGCTACTTGGGAGGCTGAGGCGGGAGAATCACTTGAGCCCAGGAGATCAAAGCTGCAGTGAGCCGTGATCACACCCCTCCACTCCAGCCTCAGTGACAAGATCCTGTCTCAAAAAAGAAAAACACCAGAACGGCTTCCAACCACAATACGGATGTGTTTAGAAGTGGTAGAATACAGGCATATAAAGAACAAAAAGTACCTGCTACAAAATAATATCATCCAAAGCCCAATAAATAATGATCTATGTAATAAACCATTTTTTGGAATTCCTCAATTAAAACACAACTTGAAGAATCAAAATGCTCAAAAGCACTCCATAGTATCCTCTACGGAAAGTACTTAGTAATGAATACCCTGTGAAGGGCAAGTTATCCCCTGGACTCCTCCACATATCCATGCCCCGGGTACCTGGCCTTGAGCTCTTGGATCTCCTGGCGGATACGGGTGGTCTCCTCTCGGTACCGCCGCACCCGCAGCTCATCCTGTGCAATCTGCTGGCTCTGTTTCTGTAGTTTTTGGACCAGGTAGTCCCTGATGACGGAGAGTGTGGCTGTGGAGTTGTGGGCCAGGGTCTGCACCACTGAGATTGGGGTCCAAGAGGAAACAAGACAATCAACCACGTGTGGCACTCTCTGGATAAAGGTGAAGGGCCCCTGCCACAGAGCCCAGCTGTCAGCAGCTTGTCACCCACCCATCTGTCTTCCCAAGTACCTAGAAGAGGTGGCATGAGGTTCTTGTTCTCGATATGCTTGAGGACAGCTGCCACATACTCCTTGCAGTCCTCCTCCTTGCGAGCGAAGTAGCTGAGGGCCTGCTCCCACAAGGAGGGGTCCTGCTCCCCATGGCGCTCACACACGCTGATGACCTGCCGGTACTGCTCGTGCTGCATGTGGTAGTGCATGATCTGCTGGAACCTGCGGCCGGGGCAAGGGCACACCTCAGTGGCTGTCTCTGGAAAATGACTTGGATTCTTCCCCTTTCCCTGAAATTCCCCAAACTCTTACAGCTTCCCCTGCTCATAAAGGTAAAGGACACCATCCTGGAAGTCGTGCATCTGGCACAGGACCAGGGCCTTGTCAAAGACGTCGCAGAAGCGACCACTCTTCAGCAGGGAAATGGCCTCTGCGTGAAGCTTCTCTTTGACCTGGAGAGGAAGGAGGGCAGAGCTGCTGGACAAAAGGGGAAAATCACAAGGTCTCTTGGGACAAAGCCAGTCAACTCTTTCCCTCAGTCCATTCCCTCTTCACAGAGGACCATTGAGCCCCGAGGTAAGGTGTTACTGGTCTAAGGAATGCAGTGAAAGGCAGCCACCAAGACGGAAGAATGGAGACGGCACGAACTGTCTTTTCTCCTGAAGCCCTGGCCAGGCCTCACCTGTGGATCCTTCTCGTGGGCCCAGTTCTGCAGTCGCAGCTCAAGGAGTGTGTCGTAGATCCCCTGGGGTGAGTCTGGCTGCACTTCACTCATGTGCTCTAGGAAGGCTTTCAGCTCTCGCGGGTTATTGGCAAAGATGGGGATGAACTCCTCAGAGTTGGCCTAGGATGGCAAGAGAGGAAAAAGGAGGCTGAATGAGTGGGCGTGATATACAGGAAGCCCTTAAGGTGATCCCCACAGTCTGAAGCTCTTTTCCCTGCAGCCTCACCCTGCAGCCTGGGGCCTCCCTATCGCTGCGGCCTTCGAGGCTGGGCCGATAATCAGTACAAAGTCCCTTCAGCAACTGAGTTGTCTGCTCTGGTATGTGGTGCATGAGGATCTTGCCGTAGCGCTTCATGTTGCTCTCTGCCTGCTCAAAAGGCAGCTTGCCGATGTATCGAAGGGCTTCCTGATAATTCTGTGGAAAAGTAAAGGGCAGAATAGTGTATACTCCTGCCTCAGCCACCAGGAAGCACTTTCACCATTCTGGAGATGTCTTCAAAAACGACAGGGCTCTGCCCAAGTTGAGAGTCTCACCTCCACTCAGGAGGATGGGGTGGGAGGATCACCTGAGCCCAGGAATTCAACTCCAGCCTGGGCAACATAGTGAGACCCTGTCTCTTGGGGAAAAAAGACAGTCTCACCTACCTTAATGTCTTCTAGCTGGATCTTCAGGTACCACTCATGATGTGCATGGTTCTCCGCCAGATACAGGGCATGGGAGTAGTAGCCAGCCTGCCGGAGGACCTTGATGGCTGTCTCCACATCAAAGTGGACTTCACTCTCACTCTTTTTCTGCCAGGGAGACATGAGACAAAATCATTTACACAGAGGGAGATAGAGAAGGGAGAGGAAACAGGCACCTGACTTTCAGATTCCTAAGGTGATATCATAACGTTCACACTTTGAAAATATTATGCTACTCAGCCTGTGGGAGTTTCTGACTAAAGTTTTCCTCTGCCCCTACCATTAGAGGGACACCGCTAGGGACAGGACTTCCCCAGTGCCACCACCCTGGGCTTAGATACCATGGGAATTTCTAGAATCATAAAACAAGAGGGGAGATGGCACCGAACTAACAGGAACAGCCACTCCTCTAAATAAGGTCAGCCCTTTCCTCTCCCTATGTCTTGCTGAAACGAACAAGTCCCGGTGGAGCCACCTCATGCTCAGTGGGGCCTCCAAGACTTCCCCACCAACAACATCCTGCACCTTGATGAACTCCTCCAGCTTCGAGCTGTCCTTGAGCTTGGTATAGCAGTTGAGGAGCAGGGTGGTATGGTCGGCATTGGCCAGGGATTGTCGGTGCAGGGTCTGCAGGTAGGCAGTCAGGTTGTGAATGCGCTGGGCATCCAGAAACTTGCGGATCACGTAGGATGGCTCCAACTTTCCAATGGTTCTAGGGAGACATGTGCACCCGATAGCATCTGAATCAGTGTACTTCTCCAGCTCATGTACACAGGAATCACTTGCAGATCTTCTCAAAATGCAAATTCTATTTCAGTGGATCTGGAGTGGGGCCTGAGATTCTACATTTCTAACAAAGTCCCAGGTAATATCGGTGCTACTAGACTGTGGACCACACTGGGTAACAAGGCTCCAGAGCACTGCTTCTTAAATTTGGCTAAAAATAGGAATTCTAAAGAGAACGGGGAAGAGGCCAAACAGGTTTCTTTTTATATTATTACTATTTTGTTGTTGTTTTATTGTTGTATTTTTGTTCTCTTTCTTTTACATTATTTTAAAATTTAATTAATTTTTTTTTTTTTGAGAGGGAGGTTCGCTCCTGTTGCCCAGGCTGGAGTGCAGTGGCACGATCTCAGCCCACCGCAACCTCTGCCTCCCAGGATCAAGCGATTCTTCTGCCTCAGCCTCCTGAGTAGCTGGGATTACAGGCATGTGCCACCATGCCCAGCTAGTTTTGTATTTTTAGTAGAGGCAGGGTTTCTCCATGTTGGTCAGGCTAGTTTCGAACTCCCGACCTCAGGTGATCCACTCACCTCAGCCTCCCAAAGTGCTGGGATTACAGGTGTGAGCCACCACACCCGGCCTTTTTTTATTATTATTTTTTTGAGACGAAGTTTCGCTATTTCGCCAGGCTGGAGTGCAGGGCACGATCTTGGCTCACTGCAACCTCCGCCTCCTGGGTTCAAGCTATTCTCCTGCCTCAGCCTCCCGAGTAGCTGGGACTACAGGTGCATGCCACCACACCCAGCTAATTTTTGTATTTTTAGTAGAAACGGGGTTTCACCATGTTGGCCAGGATGGTCTCAATCTCTTGACCTCGTGATCCGCCCACCTCAGCCTCCCAAAGTGTTTGGATTACAGGCGTGAGTCACTGCCCCCTGGCAATTTATTTATTTATTATTATTATTATTATCTACTATTATTTTTTTGATAGAGTCTTGCTCTGTTGCCCAGGCTGGAGTGCAGTGGCACGATCTTGGCTCACTATAGCCTCTGCTTCCCAGGTTCAAGTGAATCTCCTGCCTCAGCTTTGCGAGTGGCTGGGATTACAGGCATATGCCACCACACCCAGCTAATTTTTTTTTTTAAGATGGGATTACAGGCGCCCGCCACCATGCCCAGCTAATTTTTGTATTTTTAGTAGAGATGGGGTTTCGCCATGTTGGCCAGGCTGGTCTTGAACTCTTGACCTCAGGTGATCCACCTGCCTCAGCCTCCCAAAGTGCTGAGATTACAGGCGTGAGCCACCACGCCTGGCCTTGTATTTTTTTTTTTTTTTTTTTTTTAGTGGAGACAGGGTTTCACCATGTTGGCCAGGCTGGTCTCAAACTCCTAACCTCAAGTGATCCACCCGCCTTGGCCTCCCAAAGTGCTGGGATTACAGGAATGAGCCACGGCGCCCAGCCATATTTTTAAATTTTATTTATTTATTTATTGTTAGAAATGGGGTCTTGCTATGTTGCTCAGACTGGGCTCATGCATTCCTCCCACCTCGGTCTCCCAAAGGGATAGGATCACAGGCACATGCCACTGCACCCCAGCCTTAGACAAACTTTTTTTTTTTGAGACAGTCCTGCTCTGATACCCAGGCTGGAGTGCAGTGGTGCGATCTCGGCTCACTGCAAGCTCCGCCTCTGGGGTTCAGGCCATTCTCCTGCCTCAGCCTCCCAAGTAGCTGGGACTACAGGCGCCCGCCACGACACCCAGCTAATTTTTTGTATTTTTTAGTAGAGACGGGGTTTCACCGTGTTAGCCAGGATGGTCTCGATCTCCTGACCTCGTGATCCACCCGCCTCAGCCTCCCAAAGTGCTGGGATTACATGCGTGAGCTACCGCGCCCGGCCACCTTAGACAGATTTCTAAAACCCCTTCTTAAGGCAGAAAATTCCAAGAATTAGTACTGATGGAAGGAATTATGGAAGCAAGAGATGAATACCTTTTCCCCCTTAAAGAACCAGGTCAAAGTGAATATTTACAAAGGCCAAGCTAAAGGTTAAAATGAGAGGTAATCATCGGCTCAACTGCATACTGGTCATATAATATTTGACCCTAAAATTCCCTTTTCAACAAGGAATCTTGTTCTCTCATTTAAGGCATCATAGTTCTTATAAAGAAAATTAAAAAGGCCAGGCACTGTGGCTCACACCTGTAATCCTAACACTTTGGGAGGCCGAGGCAGGCAGATTGCCTGAGCTCAGGAGTTCGAGACCAGCCTAGAGAACGTGGTGAAACCCCGTCTCTACTAAAAATACAAAAAATTAGCCAGGCATGGCAGCATGATCCTGTAATCCCAGCTACTTGGGAGGCTGAGACAGGAGAATTGCTTGAACCCGAGGCAGAGGTTGCAGTGAGCCGAGATCACACCATTGCACTCCAGCCTGGGTGAAAGAGCGAGAATCTGTCTCAAAAACAAACAAACAAACAAAAAAAGCAAAGAAAAAAACACCGGGCGCAGTGGCTCATGCCTGTAATCCCAGCACTTTGGGAGGCTGAAGCGGGCAGATCACCTGAGGTCAGGAGTTCATGACCAGCCTGGCTAACATGGTGAAACCCCGTTTCTACTAAAAATACAAAAAATTAGCCAGGTGTGGTGGCACGCGCCTGTAATCCCAGCTACTCGGGAGACTGAAGCAGGAGAATCATGTGAACCCAGGAGGGAAGGTTGCAGTAAGTCGAGATCGCGCCATTGCACTCCAGCTTGGACAACAAGAGCGAAACTCCATCTCAAAAAAAAACTAACAAAAACAAACAAAAAACCAAAAACAAAAACAGTTCCTGGTAGAATTCTAGCCCCTACCTGGAGCATGGATGGGCTTTAGCTATCTAGCTGCCTGTCCCTGCATTCACAGCTATATCCCAAAGTGCCTCCAGACTGACCGGATATATTGCTGGACAGCCCCATCGTGGTTGCCCTTGCTGTAGAGATGGTCTCCATACTGCATGAAAATCTGGGCCAGCCCATCACTGTCCAGATGCTGGCTCTTGGCAAGGTTAATCGCCATCTCAAATAGGTTCTTCTTAAACAGCATCTAGAAGGGAAGAGAGATTAGAAAATTGGTAGAAGTGGTCCTGGGAAGACACTTTCCCAAAATGTGCGCACAACACACAAAACAGAAAGTCCTGGATTTCTGATCTGCCTAGATCCTAGACAAACCAAGAGCTACCAGATATCCCCAAGATCAGTATCATCTTATTTCATAAGGTTCTCTGGAAACAAAGTGAACCCTTAGAGTGGGCTCAGGCTCCCAGCCACTACTTCCCTCTAAAGCCCCATCCCAGGCCATTTACCTTATAATCCTACCCTAAGGAAGCTGAGTAAGGCTGTGACCCACAAGGAGGGAAACACCCTGGCCAATATGACTTGGGGAACCTGCTCCTGCAGCTGCTTCTAGGTGCCTGTGGCCAGCTCTGCGAGCCTGGTGGCCTTGCCTCCAGTTTGGTCTGTGTGTCCTTCTCCTGCAGTGCGTGGACCCGCCCATCCCGCGTCAGCACGTACAGGGAGCCCCACTCAGCAAGCACATCCACTACATCCTCAAAGACGGTGCTATAGGCTATGAACTTGTTGCACAGGTCATAGATGTTTAGAATCTGCTTGTCGGAGCTCTGTGAATCCCTGCTGGTAAACTCTGACCTGCATAGGAAAGAAAAAGCACCAGATGTTTGGACATCTCTGTCTTATCTCCCCTATTTCCTTTCCCATGATAACTTTGGTGCACATTTCACCCAGCACAAATCACCTCTCTGGTCCCTCTCATCCCATAACATGCAGCGCTGTGCCGGTAGTTGTACATAGAGAACACATAAACCTGATCTTACCCTTTAGGATCCTACAATTAACCCAAGTAACAGATTAGAAAATTAAGTACACTAACATATCCATTCATTTAGAAAATAATAATCCAATACATGGTATATGTAAAACACTGTGCCTGGAACTGAATGAAAGCAAAACAAACCAGCATCTAACAGGGAGTACTTTCATCATGCAGAAGACCCCACTTACCCCTTAAAAAAATAAAACCAAAACAAAACAGAAAACTTGCATCCTACGTTTCCCAGCACTTTCTAATTTCTCCACTGCTGAATCCCTTGTTCCTCTGCCCAATTTATTTTGACAAAAGAGTTAAAAAACAAAACAAGGCCGGGCGCAGTGGCTCACGCCTGTAATCCCAGCACTTTGGGAGGACGAGGCAGGCAGATCACGAGGTCAGGAGATCGAGACCATCCTGGCTAACACGGTGAAACCCCGTCTCTAATAAAAATACAAAAAATTAGCCGGGCATGGGGGCGGGCACCTGTAGTCCCAGTTGCTCGGGAGGCTGAGGCAGGAGAATGGCGTGAACCCGGGAGGCGGAGCTTGCAGTGAGCCGAGATCGCGCCACTGCACTCCAGCCTGGGCAATAGAGCGAGACTCCATCTCAAACAAAACAGAACAAAAAAAGCAGGTCCAAATTCCCTGGAGCATTCTAGTATGCTAGGGCTATGTAGCAAATACCTGCAGTAAAAACATCCATTTTTCAGTTAAAAAAAGCATTGTAACCAACTCTAGCTATAAGTGTCACTGGCTGGGTGCAGTGGCTCACACCTGTAATCCCAGTACTTTGGGAGGCCGAGGCGGGTAGATCACTTGAGGTCAGGAGTCTGACACCAGCCTGGCCAACATGGTGAAACCTCGTCTCTACTGAAAATACAAAAAGTAGCCAGGCGTGGTGGCACATGCCTGTAATCCCAGCTATTCAGGAGGCTGAGGCAGGAGTATCACTGGAACCCAGGAGGCGAGGCTGCAGTGAGCCGAGATCACGCCACTGCACTCCTGGGTGACAGAGCGAGACTCCATCTCAAAAAAAAAAAACAGAAATGTTACCTACATAACACCGGAGTAGGAGTAGGAGATTGGCAGTATCCAGGCATTAGGATTTTAAAATCAGGCGGATTCTGGGGAACAAGTCCAGCCCTCTCCCTGTCCCTTCTCACTGAGTCCTTACTTGGGAGAAACCTTCCGGTCACGGGAGACAATGATAAGGTAGCCTCTAAACCAGTGGGCAATGAGCTTATGGCCCTCAAAGGCGAAGCAGGGCCCACGTTCATCAGGCTGGTACAAGTAGACACACTCATCCCCGGCCACAATGAACTGCAGGTCCTGAGAAGGGTCACTTAGGGCTGAGCAGCGCAGGCCACAACCATGGGTGTCCAACTCCACGCGAGGGTAGTCTTTTCCAGAAACTATATAGGACTGCCAGAAGCAACAAAGGGGTTAACAGGCTCCTTTGAGGAGGTAACTCTAAGCCTTCACAAAGGTATTCCCATCTCCATACTGGCTCTTTTTTCCCTCTTGGCATTCTAAAGTCTTTCTCTTGGCTGCTGGCCTTCTTCATTAACCATTACCCATCTATTAAATATATAACCAGAGATCACAATTTCTTTCTCTGTATATATTATCACTATCTAGTACAGAAATTCTGCAAGTAAGAAAAATGTAATAATCTACTACTTTATCAAGAGTATTCCTGAGAGAGTAGACTGTTGTAAATCTGGGGCACCAGGAACAAGAAAGGTAAAGATACTTGTCCAACGTCATTTAAAAAGTTAGTTAGAAAATAGGCCGGTGCAGTGGCTCATGCCTGTAATTCCAGCACTTTGGGTGGTTGAGGCAGGTGGATTGCTTGGGCCCAGGAGTTCGAGATCAGCCTGGGCAACATGGTGAAACCCCCATATCTAGAAAAAATACAAAAATTAGCCAGGCATGGTGACACATGCCTGTAATCCCACGTACTCAGGAGGCTGAGGTGGGAGGATCACTTGAGCCCAGGAGGCAGAGGTTGCAGTGAGCTGAGACAGCACCATTGCACTCTAGCCTGGGTTACACAGCAAGATCCTGTCTCAAAGAAAAAAAAAAAAAAAGCTAGTTAGAAATAAAATTCAAGGCCGAGTGCGGTGGCTCACGCCTGTAATCTCAGCACTTTGGAAGGCCAAGGTGGGTGGATCACCTGAGGTCAGGAGTTGGAGACCAGACTGGCCAACATGGTGAAACCCTGTCTCTACTAAAAATACAAAAATTAGCTGGACATGCTGGTGTGTGCCTGTAATCCCAGCTACTCAGGAGGCTGAGGCAGGAGAATTGCTTGAACCTGGGAGACTGAGGTTACAGTGAGTCAAGATCTCGCCACTGCACTCCAGCCTGAGCAACACAGTGAGACTCGGTCTCAAAAAAAAAAAAGAAAGAAAATTCACATCTTTTTACTACAAGCCCAGAGTCTAACTCTTTCCAGCTTCCTAGGCAAAAAAATAAAATACAAAGCTAGGCAAATGATTCGAATTATATGATTAAAACTTTAACACTCCCACCTTTCCTGTCACTTCATTACCCTATCCCCCTGAACAATGGAGAAGCCCTCCCTGCCTGCTCCTAAGAGTGGAGGCCTTGGTCATACCTGGACGTTCTCTGTTGTCACAACAAACAAGTGAGTGGTCTTTCCTGCTTGGCGAAAGGCCAATCCAGTTACAGGATAGTTGCCCTTGTGCAAAATCTGGGTCTTGCTATGCCGGTCCCGGGTGATGTCTCCTTTGTTCAATGTAACACTGCCATCTGTGAAACCTGTAAGAAAACAAGAAAATTACTTCAGTAAGGCTGAAAAGATCAGGAAGTGGAGAGGGGAAAAAAGACCACTTGAGGCACTCAGAAGTGACAAGCTTTCTCCATATACCCAACCTCTCTAATGGTTAACCTGAATATTGGTACTCACTGACACATTTTCAAAGAACAAAATTAAATGCCTTCCCATTCCAAACTTTATTTATTTTATTTATTTATTTATTTATTTATTTATTTTGAGACAGAGTTTTGCTCTTGTTGCCCAGGCTACAGTGCAATGGCGCGATCTTGGCTCACTGCAAACTCCGCCTCCCAGGTTCAAGTGATTTTCCTGCCGCAGCCTCCCTAGTAGCTGGGATTACAGGCATGTGCCACTACACCCAACTAATTTTGTATTTTTAGTAGAGATGGGGTTTCTCCATGTTGGTCAGGCTGATCTCAAACTCCCAATCTCAGGTGATCCGCCCACCTCAGCCTCCCAAGGTGCTGGGATTACAGGCATGAGCCACCGCGCCTGGCCCCCATTCCAAAATTTAATATCGCAAAGGCCTCAGTTCAGTACAAAGTGGTCTCCTGAAAACAGTAAAGATGAGAGGCAGAAGCAACTCTGAAGAAAATCTATAACAAATCTAGGAGGGTTAGTTTTGCCTTCTGTTTACCAATGGCCATAAAGTTGAGATTTTCATGGACAGTCAAACAAGATACAACAGTTGGCTCTGTTCCTGGAATAGCAGGGAAGATTCGAGTGCAGAGTGGATTGCCACCATCTCTCTTCTCCAGGTTCCAGATCTTAACCTGTGGACAGACCTCAGAAGTGTAAATGCTAGTCATCCTCCAACAAAAAATCATTCCTAGGCTTCTGGATCTTTCCCATTTCCCTGCTGGGACTCACCAAGGGGTTGATGCCCTCTTCATCTTCTCCAACAGATGCCAGAATATTGTGCTGCTTCAGTTGGTACAGGTGTGTCACCCGTAGTTTGTAGGCTTGGAAGCCTGTAAGCTGTAGGGAACGTGGCAAGAACCAGATCTGGCCTTCCATATGTGCAGGGTAGTCAAGGAGCCTCCTTTCCAAGGAGAGATACTTACATTCAGACCAGAACTCAGATAACAATTACATGTATATAACTCTAAAATTTTCAAGGATTTTCCCACATACTCCTTATCTTAAAAAGAGTGAGGCCAGGCGCGGTGACTCACACCTGTAATCCCAGCACTTTGGGAGGCCGGGGGGGGGGGGGGGTGCGGATCACCTGAGGTCAGGGGTTCGAGACCAGCCTGGCCAACATGGTGAAACCTGTCTCTACTAAAAATACAAAAATTAGCCAGGTATAATGGTGCGTGCCTGTAATTTCAGCTACTCAGGAGGTTGAGGCAGGAGAATTGCTTGAACCCGGGAGGCGGAGGTTGCAGTGTGCCCAGATCATGCCATTGCACTCCAGCCTGTGCAACAAGAGTGAAAGTCCGTCTCAAAAAAAAGAAAAAAATTTAGTGCGCCGGGCGCGATGGCTCACTCCTGTAATCCCAGCACTTTGGGAGGCCGAGGCGGGTGGATCACGAGGTCAGGAGTTCGAGACCAGCCTGGCCAATATGGTGAAACCCCGTCTCTACTGAAAATGTAAAAAATTAGCCGGGTGTGGTGGCAAGCGCCTGTAGTCCCAGCTACTCGGGAGGCTGTGGCAGGAGAATCGCTTGAACTCAAGAGACGGTTACAGTGAGCCCAGATCCCGCCACTGCACTCCAGCCTGGGCAACAGAGTAAGACTCCGTATCAAAAAAAAAAAAAAAAAAAAAAAGGTAAAAAGGCCAGAATTTAGTAGCAGCAACATGAAGATGAAAGCAACAAACCGCTAGGCTCATTTACCTCCTCGCCAACGATAATATTAGGGCAGGGGAAATCATGTCACTTTACATATTCATCTTTTAAAGCCAACTTGCATTCTTTTTCTTATTGATCTCAAATTAACCTCGTCAAATTGGCATGCACACATCTCCTACAGATAAGGAAATTAAAACCCAGAGAGGTTAAATGACTTGCCCAGGATTGCTCAGTTGATAACAAGTTAGGAGATGGACTTCCTTCTTTCTTCCCGTAGACCACAGAACAACTCTGGATGACCAGCTAAACCAAAGAGGCGCGCGGCACGGACCCCTCCGACAAACAGATTTCATCCTAACTCGATCTCTTCGGGATCCCGGGAGGGAAAAGACAGCTCCAAACGAAGGATATCTCCAAAGACCAGGCTCCCTCGGCCTGAGTCGCAGACAGTGATGCCAGGAGGGAGGCAAAGGAACTTGGAAGCAGCGGATCCAGAAGCAGGTGTGGCCCCGGGAGCGGCCCCATCATTGCTCAGCGGCTCCTTCACCAGCTCCTTGTCGAAGAAAACGAAGCGCCGCCACTGCAGGTAGGCCGCCATTTTGGCCCAGGGCTCCCACCTCCGGGAGCTTTGTCACGTGAGCTGAGCCAGCGAATCACGTGGTCGGCAGCTTCCGGGAGCCCGCGGGCCCAGGAGCTCCTGAGTCGGGGTGACAGCGTCCCGCTGCTGGGAAAGTGGGCGGGGCCGCGCGGGGTAGTCCTAGATCTGCAGTGTGCGAGTTTGCCGGATGTGACTGTAACTTCGCTAGCTAAAATGCTTGAGAGCGGACCCTTCATCCCTTTGAGCATGTTTCTTCCTAAAATGCGCGGATACCGGGAGATCAAGATGAGGGATGTCATGTGCCTTGTGAACTGTCACCCGCCGTGCGTAAGTGAATGACGTTTTGACCTCACAGGACTGTTTTGGGGCATAAATGAAACAGTGTATGTTAAACCAGGTTTTCGGCTGTATGAGAGGAGAAATAAAATTAGAAGTTTGTGTCTGCCACCACGCAGATTGTGAACCATAGTCAATGTTTTATATTCGTTTTTGTTTCCCCCGTCAGAGCGTATGACACCTAACAGACGCTCAAAACGTTTCTTAAGGAAACGGGCTGGGCGCGATGGCTCATGCCTGTCTGTAATCCCAGCACTTTGGGAGGCCGAGGTGGGGGAATCACTTGAGCCCAGGTGTTCGAGACCAGCCTGGGCAACATGGTGAAACCCCATCTCTACAAAAAATACAAAAATGAGCCTGGCATGGTGGTGGACACCTGTGGTCCCAGCTACTTGGGAGGCTGAAGTGGGAGGATCGATTGAGCCCCGGAGTTGGAAGCTGCAGTGAGCTGTGATCGAGCCGCTGCACTCCAGCATGGGCGACAGAGCAAGACCTTGTCTCAAAAAAAAAAAAAGGAAACTGGGAAATACTGGTGGGGCAGGAATTCCCAAGGCCCTGGGCTTTCTCCCCCTTTCATAGTGGCAGGGTAGGGGACATAGAACTGAGCAAAAACCTGGAAGTGGCAGCTTTGAGAGCTGAGTGTTTTAATGAGAAGTGGCAGGTGTCCAAGATATTACATGATCATTCTCCACTCCCAACTCTGGCTAAACCATCTTTGAATCCAAGCAAGATCTATCCTCATGGACAACTACTGCAGGTTTACTGTTTGTGTGCCATGAGAACCTATAGACAGAAGTGACATAGCATCATTTTGAGATGGTAGGGACATATGGAAAAGTGACCCTGTGGTATTTGTGAAGTTTATTGTTTGCACTCCCCCAACTTCCTTTTTTTTCTTTTTTCTTTTTTTTTTTTTTTTTTTTTAGACAGAGTCTCTCTCTATCCCCCAGGCTGAAGCGCAGTGGCACAATCTCAGCTGACTGCAACCTCCGCCTCCCGAGTTCAAGCGATTCTTATGCCTCAGCCTCCTGAGTAGCTGGGATTACAGCTGCCTGCCACCACGCCTGGCTAATTTTTGTATTTTTAGTAGAGTTGGGGTTTTGCCATTTTGGCCAGGCTGGTCTCGAACTCCTGACCTCGGGTGATCCACCCGCCTCGGCCTCCCAAGTACTGGAATTACAGGCGTGAGCCACCGCACCCGGCCCTCCCCCAACTTATTTCAGAATATTTGATGCTGTATTTCCACCAGCCAGAGTTCCCTGAGAGCGGGGGCTACATCTTGTACCGTAACTGTGAACGAGGCCTAGCAGAGCCTGGTAGAAGTTCCATGTTTGGTTGAAGGAATGAATGTGGTGTGGATGCCTCTCCTCTTATCCACTCCTCTCCTCAATCTGGTTGATGGGCAGGTGGCGTCCATTTGTCTGAAGAGGTAAATGATAGGAAGAAACTCTAGCCACCACCATGCACACAGATTTCCTGACTTCCAACTCAAGTTTCTTTCCTCTTCATCACACAGGATATCTCCAATTCATTGCAACTGTTTCAGGATACCAACTGTTGGGCAGAAGCACAAATGGGAGCGGGTTGAACCCACTTTCACCTACTGAGCATATTCCATACTGGTCATCAGAATGTTTAGATAGTATGTTAATATGTCAGTTGTTAAGCCTATGAAGAATATATGTTAAAAGAAGCAATGTGGCCAGGCAAGCTGGCTCATGCTTGTAATCCCAGCGCTTTAAGAGGCTGAGGCAGGAGGATCCCTTGAGGCCAGGAGTTCAAGACCAGCGTGGGCAACAGGCTTCAAAAAAGAAGAAATGTAAAAGCAGAGATGTGAACAAGAGATAGAGTGCATCTTTGTTGCTTGGGTGCTCCCCCTGTTGTCCAATGGCAGAAGCTCCACGTCTTCCTCTGAGGGCTGAATCTGGTTCTACTTGTGCCCATTGGATCCTCTTATTGATGAGGGTTACAAAGGCCGAGATTGGCCTGCCAGAGAGACCCACAGCACCTCTTCAGACTTACTACCTTCTTTCCTTTCCTTCTTTTGACAAATATGTATTGAGCACTCCTAGTCCAGGAATTGTACCAAATGCCCAGAATATAAATGAACAAGACATGGTCCTCAACCACCACCCTAGAGACAGGCATAAAAAGAACTGACAGTAACAAGCCCCTAATTTCATGTAGTAAATTATATCTAATAAAGTGCCTTCGCTTTTCATGGAATCTTCGTAGCAACCATCTGCAGAAGAGGTATCATTATCCCTGATGAGAAATGGAGTCTCAAAGAGTTTAACTTAAAGTGGCTCTCTCTGGGCAAAAACTTCAAAGTTCTTTGGAAATAAAATGAGTAATTCAGTCCCCTACCCTCTAATTAGATAGTTTGATGGGTGTAAAGCTAGATTATGCTTGTCAGAACATACACCAGGGTTTGTCTCTTAGTTACACTGGTCTGAACCCAGGAATTTCAGGATAGTGAGGAATATAACCAAGCAAATTACACAGAAAATGACTGTTCACTTACAGTTAGTTCTGCATACTGAGAACTCGAGTTCTGAATGGACTAAAGATAAAGAAGAAATACAAGTCTTTAGTTTCGAATTAGAGAGGTCATAACTCAGAATCAAGAATGCAAGAATTGTCTTGCAGTATTTTCTTTTCCCTTTAGCAAACTGCTGCCCATGATATAAAACAGTTACATCCACTGGAACAAAACAGGAACACTTCTTGTCCCAAATGCAAACTTTAATTTATTTTTATCTTATTTTATTTTATTTTTGAGACGGAGTCTCGCTCTGTCGCCAGTCGTCAGGCTTGAGTGCAGTGGCGTGATCTCGGCTCACTGCAACGTCCGCCTCCCAGGTTCAAGTGATTCTCCTGCCTCAGCCTCCTGTGTAGTTGCCTCAGCAAACTTTAATTTTCCGTTTTTATCATCTGGCTCTCCAGGTAGAAACTACCTTCTTTTCTTTTTGAGATAGAGTCTCCCTCCATTGCCCAGGCTGGAGTGCAGTGGCACGATCTCGACTCACTGCAACCTCTGTCTCGTCTCCCAGGTTCAAGCGATTCTTGTGCCTCAGCCACCCAAGTAGCTGAGACTACAGGCGCACGCCATCATGCCCGGCTAGTTTTTGTATTTTTTGTAGAGACATGGTTTTGACATGTTTCCCCGGTTGGTCTCAAACTCCTGGCCTCAAGTGATCCACTCGCCTCTGCCTCCCAAAGTGCTAGGATTACAGGCATGAGCCACCACGCCCGGCCTGTTGTTGTTTTAATGTTCTTCCAGTTTTCGTCAATAACCGCATATTTCTTTCGTTCTTTTTTGTTTTGTTTTGTTTTTTGAGACACGGCTAGAGTGCAGTGGCACAATCACGGCTCACCACAGTCTCCACCTCCTAGGCTCACGAGATACTCCCACCTCAGCCTCCCCAGTAGCTGAGACTACAGGCTCATGCCACCATGCCCAGTTAATTTTGTTGTTGTTGTACTTTTAGTAGAGACAGTGTTCTGCCCTGTTGCCCAGGCTAGTCACAAACTGCTAGGCTCAAGCAATCCACACGCCTCAGCCTTCCAAAGTGCTAGGATTACAAGTGTAAGCCACCATATTTCTTTCTTTTTTTTGGAGGCGGGGGCCGGGGAGACAGGGTCTCACTCTGTCGCCCAGGCTGGAGTGCAATGGCGCGATCTCAGCTCACCCCAACCTCTGCCTCCCAGGTTCAAGTGATTCTCCTGCCTCAGCCTCTCAAGTATCTGGGATTACAGGCACACACCACTACCACCCAGTTAATTTTTGTATTTTTACTAGAGACAGGGTTTCACCATGTTGTCCAGGCTGGTCTCAAACTCCTGACCACAAATGACCCACCCGCCTGGGCCTCCCAAAGTACTGTGAGCCACCGTGCCTGGCCCTAGCCACATATTTCTTTTGTAATTCTAAAAATATTGTTATAGAAGTAGGAAAAAATTTATCTTGGTTTATCTCCTGCTGAAAATGGGCTCTCTCCTGCCTAGGGTTACAGCAAAGTCAAACCTAGAGTCTCTTGAGGCCAGGCAAGGTGGCTTATGCCTATAATCCAGCACTTTGGGGGGCCAAGGTGGGAGGATTACTTGAGGCCTGGAGTTCAAGACCAGCTTGGGCAACATAGGCAGACCTCGTCTCTACTAAAAATAAATAAAGAAATAAGTAGTCAGGTGTGGTGATGTGCACCTGTAGTTCCAGCTACTTGAGAGGCTGAGGAGGGAGAATTGCTTAAGCCCAGGAGATGGAGGCTGCAGTGAGCTGTGATCACACCACTGCACTCCAGCCTGGGCAAGAGAGTGAGCACCCTGTCTCAAAACAACAACAACAACAAACCCTAGAGTTGTTTGTATGACAGACAAAATAATTTTTAAATGTTTTATTGAAGTAACAACATACAAAAAAGTTGTAGAGTAGTACAACCCACTGAAATTCCACAAACTAACTGGACACTCCCATCGTAATCAGCAATGAGAACATGGCTAGCAGCCAGGCACAGTGACTCAGGCATGTAATCCCAGTATTTTGGGAGGCCGAAGCAGGCAGATCACCTGAGGTCAGGAGTTCGAGACCAGCGTGGGCAACATGGTGAAACCCTGTCCCTACTAAATACAAAAATTAGCTGGGCATGGTGTTGCACGCCTACAGTCCCAGCTACTTGGGAGGCTGAGGCTGGAGAATGGCTTGAACCCCAGAGGCAGAGGTTGCAGTGAGCTGAGATTGTGCCACTGCACACAAGCCTGGGTGACAGAGTGAGACTCTCTCTCAAAAAAAAAGGAGTGGGGGGAACATATCTAGCACCCCTAGAAGCTTGCCTTATGTCCTCTTCTAAACCCTCCAGCTTGGGCAACAGAGCAAGACCCTGTATCTAAAGGATAGCAGCATCCTGACTTCTATCCCTGTAGCTTAGTTTTGCCAGCTTTTAAACTTGATATTTAAATCATACAGTATGTACTTGGGCTTCTTTCACTCAGTATTATGTTTGTAGAATTCATCTAAGTTGTCCTATGTAATAATAGTCCACTCATTCTTATTGCTGTATAGAATTCCACTGTATGAATCTCTGATTCATTTATCTATCCAATTGTTGATGAGCATTTGGATAGTTTTCAGCCCGGGGCTGTTATAAATAAAGCTATTACCAACAGCCTCTGGGTGAACATATGTTTACTTTTTTTTGTTGTTGTTGTGACAGAGTCTCACTGTGTCACCCAGGCTGGAGTGCAGTGGCACAATCTTGGCGCACTACAACCTCCACCTCTCAGGTTCAAGCAATTCTCCTGCCTCAGACTCCCCAGTACCTAGGATTACAGGTGCGTGCCACCACGCCGGGCCAATTTTTTTTTTTTTTTTTTTTTTTTGAGATGGAGTCTGGCTCAGTCGCCCAGACTGGAGTGCAGTGGCGCGATCTCGGCTCACTGCAACCTCCACCTCCTGGGTTCAAGCAATTCTTCTGGCTCAGCCTCCTGAGTAGCTGGGACTACAGGCACATGCCACCACCAATTTTTGTATTTTTAGTGGAGATGGGGTTTCACCGTGTTAGGATGGTCTTGATTTCCTGACCTCATGATCCACCTGCCTCAGCCTCCCAAAGTGCAGGGATTACAGGCGGGAGCCACCCCCAGCCGACAACTAATTTTTAAAAATTCTTCTGGTGTAGGATATTCTCTCTGATCAACACTGCCCTCAGCCCATCATGTAATTTGCATGGTTTATGTGCATATATACCCTCACCGATATGTCTATTTTACACCTCTGTCAGTTTGGCACATGTTCTGCAAGACGGCAACTTTCTTCCCTTAGGTTTCTGCAGTGTTGGGGAAGGGATATAGTCCTCCAATGTTAACAAGTTATTCTGGAGAAGAACCAATGAGTTCACCTGCCTAGGTCAATCTAAATCAGGTGTTTTACATTAAAAATTTCCCATTGTTCTTCAGCTTGTTCTTGTGAAATACTATTCTACCCTCTGGTCCCAGAACAAAACAGCTGACTCCTCAGAGCACTTGCACCTGCTTCACTACCCAGGGGGACAGATACCCAGGCTGAGAACTGTAGCTGTGGCAGAACCATGCTCCCACCAGGGGTATTCATGGTTGGAGCTCTCTTAGGAGCTTCGAGAGCTTTCTTCTTCTTCTTCTTTTTTTTTTTTTTTTTGAGACAGGGTCTCACTCTGTCGCCCAGCCTGGAGTACAGTGGTACAATCTCGGCTCACTGCAGCCTCTGCCTCCTGGGTTCAAGCAATTCTCCTGCCTCAGCCTCCTGAGTAGCTGGGATTACAGGCATGCACCACCACATTGGGCTAATTTTTTTGTATTTTAGTAGAGACGGGGTTTCACCATGTTGCCCAGGCTGGTCTTGAACTCCTAAGCTCAGACAATCTGCCTGCCTCGGCCTCCCAAAGTGCTAGGATTACAAGCGTGAGCCACTGTGCCCGGCCCCCCAAATAGATTTTTAATAAGCGCATGAAACGATGAACATATTTGTTTCCCAGTTTCCCAACACATTATGACTTCTTTGAGGGTAAGGACAAGCTCATGCCCATCTCTGGATTAGCAGCACCTAGCCCAGTGCTTGCATATCAGAGTGGCCCAATAAATGTTAAAACGCATACTCTCTGTTTGAAATGGATGGAAAGGCTGGGCGTGGTGGCTCACGCTGTAATCCCAGCACTTTGAGAGGCCGAGGCAGGCGGATCACCTGAGGTCAGGAGTTCGAGACCAGCCTGGCCAACATGGTGAAACCCTGACTCTACTAAAAATACAAAAATTAGCCAGGCATGGTGGTGTGTGCCTGTAGTCCCAGCTACTTGGGAGGCTGAGCCAGGAGAATCGCTTGAGCCCGGGAGGTGGAGGTTGCAGTGAGCCAAGACTGCACCACTGCACTCCAGCCTGGATGACACAGACTCTGTCGCAAAAAAAAATAAAAAATGGATGGAAAGACTCTACTGGATAGTTGGCCAAAAGTGGAGTCTATTACTGAGAAACAAAATCTTTCCCTGTGGAATTGAACTGACAGCGTATATGTCTATCATTATGGCAGAACGAACCCCATGCTATGGAATGTTCTACAGCAGTAAACGAGGAAATGAACCACAGTTACATGGAAAATGCTCCACACTTTATTATTAGTTTAAAAAAATTGCAAACAATGTAATTGTGTAACATTTTATGGTTTTAAAAAAGATAAAAGGCAAACAAGGTGTTGGTTGCAAAAAATAAAAAATGTATATTATGAAAAGATAAAAGCTACATGTTTCTAGGATATCTATATGTGTAAAAGAGGGAAAGACCTGGAAACTTATACACCACACTGACAATAGCAGGTGCCTCCACAAGAGAGAGTGGGGGTTTGGGTTGGCATCAAGGAAATTTGCCTTTGTGTAGAATGAATTTTTTAAAGATTACATTTGTGTATTATTTGTGTAATTAAATTCTGTTAAAATTTTAACTGAATTTCTATTTCTACCAATTTGTCTACTGCCTGAATACATAACTACTCTTAAAAGGAAGAATAGCTCTCCCTCCCCCTCCCCCTTTCCCCAGGGTCTCCCTCTCCCTCTCTTTCCACGGTCTCCCTCTGATGCCCAGCCGAAGCTAGACTGTACTGCTGCCATCTCGGCTCACTGCAACCTCCCTGCCTGATTCTCCTGCCTCAGCCTGCCGAGTGCCTGCGATTGCGGGCGCGCGCCGCCACGCCTGTGTTTTTTTGGTGGAGACGGGGTTTCGCTGTGTTGGCCGGGCTGGTCTCCAGCTCCTAACCGCGAGTGATCCGCCAGCCTCGGCCTCCCGAGGTGCCGGGATTGCAGACGGAGTCTCGTTCACTCAGTGCTCAATGTTGCCCAGGCTGGAGTGCAGTGGCGTGATCTCGGCTAGCTACAACCTCCACCTCCCAGCCGCCTGCCTTGGCCTCCCAAAGTGCCGAGATTGCAGCCTCTGCCCGGCCGCCACCCCGTCTGGGAAGTGAGGAGCGTCTCTGCCTGGCTGCCCATCGTCTGGGATGTGAGGAGCCCCTCTGCCCGGCTGCCCAGTCTGGGAAGTGAGGAGCGCCTCTTCCCGGCCGCCATCCCGTCTAAGAAGTGAGGAGCGTCTCTGCCCGGCCGCCCATCATCTGAGATGTGGGGAGCGCCTCTGCCCCGCCGTAGCCACCCCGCCAGCCGCCCCGTCCGGGAGGGAGGTGGGGGGCCAGCCCCCGCACGGCCAGCCGCCCCGTCCGGGAGGGAGGTGGGGGGGCGCCTCCGCCCGGCCGCCGCCCCGTCCGGGAGGTGGGGGGCGCCTCTGCCCGGCCGCCCCTTCTGGGAGGTGAGGAGCCCCTCTGCCCGGCCACCACCCCGTCTAGGAGGTGTACCCAACAGCTCATTGAGAACGGGCCATGATGACAATGGTGGTTTTGTGGAATAGAAAAGGGGGAAAGGTGGGGAAAAGATAGAGATCGGATTGTTGCTGTGTCTGTGTGGAAAGAAGTAGACATGGGAGACTTCATTTTGTTCTGTACTAAGAAAAATTCTTCTGCCTTGGGATGCTGTTGATCTATGACCTTACCCCCAACCCTGTGCTCTCTGAAACATGTGCTGTGTCCACTCAGGGTTAAATGGATTAAGGGCGGTGCAAGATGTGCTTTGTTAAACAGATGCTTGAAGGCAGCATGCTCGTTAGGAGTCATCACCACTCCCTAATCTCAAGTACCCAGGGACACAAACACTGCGGAAGGCCGCAGGGTCCTCTGCCTAGGAAAGCCAGAGACCTTTGTTCACTTGTTTATCTGCTGACCTTCCCTCCACTATTGTCCTATGACCCTGCCAAATCCCCCTCTGCCAGAAACACCCAAGAATGATCAATAAAAAAAAAAAAAAAAAAAAAAGGAAGAATAGACTCTCTCTGGGACTGCCAATAATTTTTCCTTCTAAGCATAGACACCGGACCACTCTCCACCTAAGCATCACGAAAAATGTAGAGAAAGGAAGAGCTAAGAGCTCCTTAAACAAGTTCAGGCTTGACACAACCCTGGCCCTGACAGCCAGGGTCTTCAAGCGGGCCTTTCTGTGAAGGGTGGCCAGGCATCAACTTAGTAGGAGAGAAAACAGATGACTTATTTCCATCCACACTTAAGGAAAATGCAGTCTCCAAGGACTGCGTACATTTCTTTTTCGAGAAGGAGTCTCGCTGTTGTCGCCCAGGCTGGAGTGCAGTGGCGCAGTCTGGGCTCACAGCAACCTCTGCCTCCCGGATTCAAGCAATTCTCCTGCCTCAGCCTCGTGAGTAGCTGGGATTACAGGCACCCGCCACCACGCCTGGCTAATTTTTGTAGTTTTGGTAGAGACGGGGTTTCACCATGTTGGCCAGGCTGGTCTCGAACTCCTGACCTCCAGTGATTCGCCCGCCTTGGCCTCCCAAAATGCTGGGATTACAGGCGTGAGCCACCGCGCCCGGGCGACTGCGCACATTTCTATGGAGCTGTAAGTTAAAAGAGAAGGCAGTGAGGTGCTTCTGTCATTCTATGACAGAAACAGCTAAAGAGTAGAGAAATGTTCACAAGATTTAATAGAACAGAAATAGGAGAAGGTGCACACAAGCTCAACCAACTATAGCCTCACAAATAAAAGTGTCTTTTGTGTGTAGTACTTAAGTTTGGAATATTCTTTCTTATACAAATGAGTGGGGCTTAACCTAAGAAATCCTGGCCAGATTCTGCGACGAATGCATCGGTTATCTCTGACCCATCAGCAAACATCTTTTTCTGTGGCTTCAGTTTCCTCAGTAAAACAGAGGGGGTTGCGACGGACTCAGTCCGAGGGACAGCCATTCTCCAACGTCTATCCAAAGCCTAGGGCACCTCAATACTAACCGGCAGGCCAGCGCCCCCTCCGCGGGGCTGCGGACAGGACGCCTGTTATTCCATTCCTCGGCCGGGCTCTACAGGTGACCGGAAGAAGAGCCCCGAGTGCGGGACTGCAGTGCGCCCGACCTGCTCTAGGCGCAGGTCACTCCCGAACCCCGGCAGCAAAGCATCCAGCGCCGGAAAAGGTCCCGCGGTCGCCCCGGGGCCGGCGCTGGGGAGGAAGGAGTGGAGCGCGCTGGCCCCGTGACGTGGTCCAATCCCAGGCCGACGCCGGCTGCTTCTGCCCAACCGGTGGCTGGTCCCCTCCGCCGCCCCATTACAAGGCTGGCAAAGGGAGGGGGCGGGGCCTGGGACGTGGTCCAATGAGTACGCGCGCCGGGGCGGCGGGGGCGGGGCCGGGCGCGCAGCGCAGGGCCGGGCGGCCGAGGCTCCAATGAGCGCGCGCCGCGTCCGGGGCCGGCTGGTGCGCGAGACGCCGCCGAGAGGTTGGTGGCTAATGTAACAGTTTGCAAACCGAGAGGAGTTGTGAAGGGCGCGGGTGGGGGGCGCTGCCGGCCTCGTGGGTACGTTCGTGCCGCGTCTGTCCCAGAGCTGGGGCCGCAGGAGCGGAGGCAAGAGGTAGCGGGGGTGGATGGAGGTGCGGGCCGGCCACCCCTCCTAGGGGAGACAGCGTGCGAGCTCCGGGGGCGGGTCGGGAGCGCAAGGGAGGGCCGCGCGGACGCCGGGCGCTCGGCCTCGCACCGGGGGGCACGCAGCTCGGCCCCCGGTCTGTCCCCACTTGCTGGGGCGGGCCGGGATCCGTTTCCGGGAGTGGGAGCCGCCGCCTTCGTCAGGTGGGGTTTAGGTGAACACCGGGTAACGGCTACCCGCCGGGCGGGGAACCTTACCGCCCCTGGCACTGCGTCTGTGGGCACAGCGGGGCCGGGGAGTGAGCTGGGAAAGGGGAGGGGGCGGGACAACCCGCAGGGATGCCGAGGAGGAGATAGGCCTTTCCTTCATCCTAGCTACCCCCAACGTCATTACCTTTCTCTTCCCGTCCAGGCCCAGCTGGCTTTCCCCGTCAGCGGGGGAGCTCCAGGTGTGGGGAGGTGGTTGAGCCCTGGGCGGGGATCCCTGGCCGCACCCCAGGTGTCTGACAACAGGCACAGTGCTGCGGTGCGCCACTCACTGCCTGTGTGGTGGACAAAAGGCTCGGGTCTCCTTTCTCTTGTCCTGTTAGCTTCTCTGTTTAGGGATGTGGCAAAGCCGAGGACCCATGCTCTTTCACTTGGGCCTTTGTGTGGGCGCTGCTGGGATGATTAGAGAATGGTTTGTACCCATCAGGAGGGAGAAGGGGAGAAGTAGGCTGATCTGCCCTGGGTAAGAATGAAGTAGATATGAATCTTACAGCCTCTCCGTTCTGGGATGTGATTCTGTCTCCTTCACTCCGGGTATCCAGTTTTAAGTGTTTTCTTTCTTCGCCTCCCCCAGGGGCACTATGGCAGACAAAGTTAGGAGGCAGAGGCCGAGGAGGCGAGTCTGTTGGGCCTTGGTGGCTGTGCTCTTGGCAGACCTGTTGGCACTGAGTGGTATGTACCCCAGTAGAGGGAGCAAATGGATAAATGATGACTGAAGGATGCATGATGGGAATTGAGCTTGGGGCTGTTGGCCAGAAGTCTCTTGAGTTGTTAGGTCCAGGCCTTTTTGTCTTTTGCCATCTTCGTTTACCCATGGAAAGTGGTATGCTTTGATTAGAGGGAGTCCCAGGAAGGTGGGCGAAGGGAGAGCTAACTGACAAACCTCTTTTCCCTTCAGATACACTGGCAGTGATGTCTGTGGACCTGGGCAGTGAGTCCATGAAGGTGGCCATTGTCAAACCTGGAGTGCCCATGGAAATTGTCTTGAATAAGTGAGGGTGGCCCCCGTGTTAAGGGTGGGGAACGAGGGAGTCTGGGCTCCAAGTGTGAATGTGTTAGTCATAGTGCCCACAGCAGACTTCGGCATCTGAGTGGTTAAATGTGTGTGAGTGTCGAGGCTTCTGAGTCCTTCTGCTGCAGGCACCTGGGCCCAAAATCTCTTTTCCTCAGGGAATCTCGGAGGAAAACACCGGTGATCGTGACCCTGAAAGAAAATGAAAGATTCTTTGGAGACAGTGCAGCAAGCATGGTGAGCTAGCAGTCCCTCTTCCCAGAGTGGTGGGCAGAGGAGAGGAGATGGCAGCCCCCAGAGTCTGTTTCCTTATCAGTCTCTGTGATGTAAGAGGTAGGTAATGGTGGACTTGGGAGCCTAATACTAGTCTGCTCCTTCTTCACCCCTCAGGCGATTAAGAATCCAAAGGCTACGCTACGTTACTTCCAGCACCTCCTGGGGAAGCAGGCAGATAACCCCCATGTAGCTCTTTACCAGGCCCGCTTCCCGGAGCACGAGCTGACTTTCGACCCACAGAGGCAGACTGTGCACTTTCAGATCAGCTCGTGAGTGCTCTGTTGGGGAAGGTGGTCTCGGCAACGCTGCTGGGCTCCTCATTGGTGTGTGTTCCTGATTGTCCTGCCTTAATGCCTGGCTTTCCTTGGCTCCAACTACCTTCCTTCCCCTCAGGCAGCTGCAGTTCTCACCTGAGGAAGTGTTGGGCATGGTTCTCAATTATTCTCGTTCTCTAGCTGAAGATTTTGCAGGTGAGTGGTCAAGGTGGGGCCCTTAGGGCCAGGCTCCCCAGGATCTAGGGCAGTGATTCTCCAACAGGGGCAAGTTTGCCTCCCAGGGAACATTTAGCAACATCTGAAGATAGATTTTGGTTGTCACATCTGAGGGGTGCACCTGCTATCTAGTGGGTAGAGGCCGGGGATGCTGCTCAACATCCTACAGTGCACAGGACAGCCCCACAACACAGAATTACCTAGTCCAAAATGTCATTAGTGACCAGATTAGAAGCCCTCATCTAAGGTATGGAGCCGGCGGGACCCTTTTCTGTTGTCATCTGTAGAGCAGCCCATCAAGGATGCAGTGATCACCGTGCCAGTCTTCTTCAACCAGGCCGAGCGCCGAGCTGTGCTGCAGGCTGCTCGTATGGCTGGCCTCAAAGTGCTGCAGCTCATCAATGACAACACCGCCACTGCCCTCAGCTATGGTGTCTTCCGCCGGAAAGATATTAACACCACTGCCCAGGTGAGCCAGGGGAGCCTTGACCAGACATGCAGGGTGACTGAATCTAAGGATGGAGGCCACTTGGTCCCTTTTGCATCTGGTTTGCATGGCTGGGCTGACCCTTGGCAAAATGCACCAATAGCCTCCTCCCAGCCCCTGTTGGAGCTGTTTAGTTTTGTGTTAAGAGTCAGACAGCCCATTGGAAGCAGGTGGGTGGGCAGGCAGGCCCCCTGGAGTTTGAGAAGGTTCCTGTGACAGTTGCCTTGATATCTCTACAGAATATCATGTTCTATGACATGGGCTCAGGCAGCACCGTATGCACCATTGTGACCTACCAGATGGTGAAGACTAAGGAAGCTGGGATGCAGCCACAGCTGCAGATCCGGGGAGTAGGGTAAGTGGATACTTGGCAGGGAGGGCTGCTTGTGAAGACCCTCAAGTCAGGGGTTTCTTCTTGGAGGAGACACACTGCTTTGCTTTCCTGCATGCTGCAGGAATGGTCTCCTGATTGAGGCATCAGTCATTGTAGGGGACCACTCACAAAGAGTAAGGGGAAGCTGAGGCTCAGGGGAGGACAGTTTGGGAAAACTGGAAGACATGGAACTTTCAAAATGTATTCTAAGGAAATCCATGGAGCCGCAGGCAATATGTAGGGTGTCAGATTCAATCATGTTTTTGTTCTCTTGTCATTTCCAGTTAAATAATTTACCATTCTTGTTGTCTTACCTCTTTTTAAATTTTTTTTTATGGCCTGTGACATAGCCCTCAGGAGATCCTGAGAACATGTGCCCTGTTGTCTTATTTCTTGAAATCATCTTTTTCCGTCTTCACCATTACCACCCAGCCCAAGTTACCATCACCTCTTATTTGCAGAATTAAAAACATCTCCCTGTTCCTAGTGACGTCTCCTTTCAGTTCTTTCTTCATATTGCAGCCAGAGGGTTCTTCTTAAAATCCAACCTAATCATTACCTGTTTCTTTAAAAACCTGTCGCTGGCTCCATAACTTTCCCTGTGCCTGTCTCAACCCTGCCTTCTGCAGCCTGTCTGAGCCCTGAGCCCTCTCGCTTTTTGAGCCCCAGTGATGCTTGCCCTCCTCCGGAACTTGCCATGCACTCTCCCACTTCAAGGTCTTTATGAACGTTGTTGCCTCTGTCTAGAATGTTCTTTCCCCTCCAGCTAGTGAACTCTGAACTCTTCAGTTCAAGTGATGCTTGCACTGAACTCATCCTTCAGGTTTCAGTTCAAGCATCACTTTTTAGGAGACATGTTCTTGGGTCTCCCTCAGTAGCCTGAATCTCCCCCCATGCATGTTCTGCAGGCATTGTCCCCTCACCTTTACAACATGTGACGTAGTGATAATTTCACATTTGTGTGATTATTCAACTTTTCCATAGCAGGGACCCTGTCTCTCTCCCCACCGCCACATTTGTATTCCCAGAGGGAAGTACATAAGTAATGCTCAGTAAACACTGTCGAATGAATGAGTGGAAGAAGGGTCACTGCGAGGTGTCAGCTGTGCTGTAGAGAGTTGAGGGCAGAGTGTGTGTCCACACATGGGGCACTGGAGATGAACAAGGTCCCCTGAGATGAAGGAAAGGTGCCATGTGGGGATGAGAGGCTCCTGTGCAGATGCGGGGACTCCATGTGTTCTTCACTTTTTTCCCTGCTCCCTTTTCTCAACAGATTTGACCGTACCCTGGGGGGCCTGGAGATGGAGCTCCGGCTTCGAGAACGCCTGGCTGGGCTTTTCAATGAGCAGCGCAAGGGTCAGAGAGCAAAGGATGTGCGGGAGAACCCGCGTGCCATGGCCAAGCTGCTGCGTGAGGCTAATCGGCTCAAAACCGTCCTCAGTGCCAACGCTGACCACATGGCACAGGTGCCCACAAGTGGCTGGTTGAGGCTATATTTTGTCCCACGTAGAGGGTGGGGGACCCTGCCACTGAACTGGGCTGCTCGTGCCTGGCATGGCCCATGCTCCTCCCGCTACCATCCTCCCAAAGACCTATTCTTTTTGTTTCTGTCCTACTCACCAAGAGAGCGGGAGCTGGGCAAGAACCCCCTGACAGTCCCCATCCTCTCCCAGATTGAAGGCCTGATGGATGATGTGGACTTCAAGGCAAAAGTGACTCGTGTGGAATTTGAGGAGTTGTGTGCAGACTTGTTTGAGCGGGTGCCTGGGCCTGTACAGCAGGCCCTCCAGAGTGCCGAAATGAGTCTGGTGAGCGAGTAGGGGAAGGCGGGAATGCCCCGTAGGAAAGGGCATAGGAAACCCATGGGACGTCAAGGGACGAGTCAGTGCTAACTGCATGCTGTTGCACCTGTCATTCTTACCCACTGCAGGATGAGATTGAGCAGGTGATCCTGGTGGGTGGGGCCACTCGGGTCCCCAGAGTTCAGGAGGTGCTGCTGAAGGCCGTGGGCAAGTGAGTGTGGGGGCTAGAGCGCTTGGCTGAGTTCTGCCTGGGGCAGGGCTTTGGGCTGAGCAGCTGGAGGGCTGAGGGGAGGGAAGTCCCGGTTGCATGCTCCAGGGTAGACCGTGCTGAGGCTTGGGGCTTTCCCAGGGAGGAGCTGGGGAAGAACATCAATGCAGATGAAGCAGCCGCCATGGGGGCAGTGTACCAGGCAGCTGCGCTCAGCAAAGCCTTTAAAGTGAAGCCATTTGTCGTCCGAGATGCAGTGGTCTACCCCATCCTGGTGAGTGAGCCTGACTGAGCAGGTGACAAGCTCCCTTTACCTCTCCCAAGTAGGGTTTCCCCTTCTGTCTGCTCTGGCTCATCCCTTTGTCTTTCTGCTAAGAGGTCTCCCCCATCCCACCCCCATCCTTACCCCAGAACCTACTCGGGTTCTCTAGTGTGCAACAGTGTGCCTCTGTCTGCCTGCTGTGTAGGTGGAGTTCACGAGGGAGGTGGAGGAGGAGCCTGGGATTCACAGCCTGAAGCACAATAAACGGGTACTCTTCTCTCGGATGGGGCCCTACCCTCAACGCAAAGTCATCACCTTTAACCGCTACAGCCATGATTTCAACTTCCACATCAACTACGGCGACCTGGGCTTCCTGGGGCCTGAAGATCTTCGGTGAGGGGCAGGGGTGTAGGATGGGAGCTCCAGGGAGGGGGAGGCGTGGCTGCTGGATAATCTGAGGACTGGGGGTGAGGGAGGATGTGGGCCTGCGGGGCTGAAACAGGGCAGCTATGATCAGCTTCGCTGGAGAATGCATCCGTCCTCTTGAGTGTGCCCTTGGGGAGTGCCCCTGACACCTTGTGCCAGGAGGCCATGTAGTCTAGAGGGCGAGATGGGCTGGGGTGGGTCCCCCTGAACTCCTCTTTCCTTCCCAACCAGGGTATTTGGCTCCCAGAATCTGACCACAGTGAAGCTAAAAGGGGTGGGTGACAGCTTCAAGAAGTATCCTGACTACGAGTCCAAGGGCATCAAGGCTCACTTCAACCTGGATGAGAGTGGCGTGCTCAGTCTAGACAGGGTGAGAGCTAAAGGATACCCTGTGTGCAGAGCAGGGGCTCAGGCCCTGCCAGCCATTTCCAAAGTGGGTTCCACATGGCATTAGGATAAGATAACCAAAAAAGGTTTAGGAATCAGAAAAATGTTGGCTCTGAACAGAGCTAACTGATGATCTGGTGCAGACCTCCTTATAGCCTATAAATGCTTATAGGCATTGTAAATTTCTTGGAACTATTGAATGGTTTGATATAGGCATTGTAAATTTCTTGGAACAATTGAATGGTTTGAAGAATCCACTCTTTTTTTTTTTTTTTTTTTTTTTTTTTTTTTTTTTTTGGAGAGGGTCTTGGCTCTGTTACTTAAGCTGGAATATAATGGCATGGTCATAGCGCATTCCAGCCTTGAACACTTGGGCTTAAATGATCCTCCCATCTCAGCCTCTTGAGTAGCTGGGACGATACGTATGTGCCACCATATCCTGCGAAATTTTTTTGTACTTTATTTATAGAGATAGGGTCTCACTATGTTGCCAGACTGGTCTCTAACTCCTGGGATCAAGCGATCATCCTGCCTCAACCTCCCAAAGTACAGGGATTATGGGTGGGAGCCACGCAGCCTCAGGAATCCACTTATTATTATTATTACTTTTTTTGAGACAGAGTCTTGCTCTGTTGTCCAGGCTGGAGTACAGTGACGTGATCTTGCAACCTCCGCCTCCCGGGTTCAAGTGACTCTCCTGTCTCAGCCTCCTGAGTAGCTGGGATTACAGGCGCCTGCCACCACACCTGGCTAATTTTTGTTATTTGGAGTAGAGATAGGGTTTCACCATGTTGGCCAGTCTGGTCTCAAACCCCTGACCTCAAGTGATCCACCTGCCTTGGCCTCCCAAAGTGTTGAGATTACAGGCATAAGCCACTGCACTCGGCCAGGAATCCGTTTTTGAAGAACAAATCTGGGGGTAATATGGATGTAATAGCCAATACAGTTATTGAGTGGAGAAGTAGGGGGCTCTTTGGAGAAAGAGGAGCTGGGACCCTATTCATGGAGGGCTCTTAATCAAAGGAGATGGGCAGCCACCTCCAAGTCCTTAGAAAAGGCAGGTGAGAGACTAGGCCTGTGACGGCATGGAGTGTGCATAAGCAAACACCCACTTTGGCAGATGTTTGTGGAGAAAAGGTGGATTAGCCTGTGTATTTTTTCATTTTGAACCTGTTTTCAGGTGGAGTCTGTATTTGAGACACTGGTAGAGGACAGCGCAGAAGAGGAATCTACTCTCACCAGTAAGATGAGCATGCATGTGTGTATGGGAGAGAATATACTTGTGTGAAGGTTGGGGAGGTGGACAGGGCATGGCCCTTGGGTTAGAAGGTGGAGTCACTGCTGTGGTCTCCTTTTGAGTCTTTGGGTTTTACTCCCCCTAGAACTTGGCAACACCATTTCCAGCCTGTTTGGAGGCGGTACCACACCAGATGCCAAGGAGAATGGTACTGATACTGTCCAGGTGAGTTCAGGATGGAGCCAGGGAAGCATGGAGGACGGTGGGGGATGCAGGTAGTAGCCGCAGAGGAAGGGGGTGAGGGTAGGCCACCCCTGCCCCTGTTGTGTTAACCATTCACTCCCCAGGATCCTCTGGGCTCTGAGCTGTTTCTTGACTGGTGCTCCCAAGGCCCATTCCCCTCATTGCAGATGCTCTTCCTTTGTCCAGCTAGATTGCCACAGTCCAAGCAGGCCATTGACCGTTTCCATACAGCAGTCACCTGTATGGAACCCCCATGGGGTCGGCGGTGCCGAGCCAGGCCTGCCTGGAGGCTCTGCTCCTGATCGTTCCCTGGGGCGCCTGTGGTGTTTCCCAGGAGGAAGAGGAGAGCCCTGCAGAGGGGAGCAAGGACGAGCCTGGGGAGCAGGTGGAGCTCAAGGAGGAAGCTGAGGCCCCAGTGGAGGATGGCTCTCAGCCCCCACCCCCTGAACCTAAGGGAGATGCAACCCCTGAGGGAGAAAAGGCCACAGAAAAAGAAAATGGGGACAAGTCTGAGGCCCAGGTGAGCTGTGGCAGAGGAAGGCCAGTGTGGATCCAGAGGCTAAGGGAGCAGGCGCCTGCCTTGTTTCTGGCCTTGTGGAGAATGTAGGAGGGCAGAGGCTTTTCCTGACACCCCTGACTCTTCCCACCCAGAAACCAAGTGAGAAGGCAGAGGCAGGGCCTGAGGGCGTCGCTCCAGCCCCAGAGGGAGAGAAGAAGCAGAAGCCCGCCAGGAAGCGGCGAATGGTAGAGGAGATCGGGGTGGAGCTGGTTGTTCTGGACCTGCCTGACTTGCCAGAGGATAAGCTGGCTCAGTCGGTGCAGAAGTAAGTGAGGACAGCTGGTGTGTGTGTGTACATGTGTGTGCAAGGTGGGCAGGATGTGGGATGGCGCCCTGGGAGGGAGGGCTGTCGGACCCAGAGTCTCAAGTTCTCACTTGCCCTCTCCCTCATCCCTACCCCTCCTTTGTCCCATAGACTTCAGGACTTGACACTCCGAGACCTGGAGAAGCAGGAACGGGAAAAAGCTGCCAACAGCTTGGAAGCATTCATATTTGAGACCCAGGTCAGTGGGCAGGAGGCAGCAGCCCCCCCACTGGGCTTACACCTGGCTCTGTGGGCCTTGCCTCTGGGCTTGTGGGTGCATGTGTTTACATGTCCCCCTCCCCAGGACAAGCTGTACCAGCCCGAGTACCAGGAAGTGTCCACAGAGGAGCAGCGTGAGGAGATCTCTGGGAAGCTCAGCGCCGCATCCACCTGGCTGGAGGATGAGGGTGTTGGAGCCACCACAGTGGTGAGGGGCCTCTCAGGACATGGCAGGTGGAGTGGGAGCTCTCCTTCCTCTCCCAGGGTCAGAGAGAGAGAAGAGCTGGGGCTTGAGCCCATAAAGAAGGACATGGGGCTGACTCCAGGCTCTGCTGTCGTCCCTTCCACCCCTCTGCCCAATCGCACATCCATCAGATGTTGAAGGAGAAGCTGGCTGAGCTGAGGAAGCTGTGCCAAGGGCTGTTTTTTCGGGTAGAGGAGCGCAAGAAGTGGCCCGAACGGCTGTCTGCCCTCGATAATCTCCTCAACCATTCCAGCATGTTCCTCAAGTGAGCAGCCCCTGAACCCTTTTTGCAGTCCTGCCAAGGCCACTGGTTTTCATTCCTACCAGCTTCCCACTCCCCACACTCCAGGCCCCTCTCCCTCTGGGGCTAATGGTCTCCTTTCTGGCTTCCAGGGGGGCCCGGCTCATCCCAGAGATGGACCAGATCTTCACTGAGGTGGAGATGACAACGTTAGAGAAAGTCATCAATGAGACCTGGGTAATCACTTCGTAAATACTTAACCAGATACTTAGCTGCCATCCTAGGTACTGTGGGAGAGGTGGAGAGATGAAGCCACAGCAGCCCCTGCCTCCTGGCTTAGCATCTAACCTGAAGACAAAAGATGTTTGTATTTGAGCCCACCTCTGATTAGTCCCAAGCAAGGGCCATGGCCATAAGAGTCATCAGCCTGGAGGAGCAAAAAAGCCCATCCCATGAGGACAGAGAAAGCTGCTTTGAGGGGCTGGGATTTGAGCTAGGTTCAGAACATGGGCCAGGGTTTGGCTAGGTGAAACTGATGTGTCATGTGAAGCAGAAACTGTTTTGGATGTGTGGGGACTCTTGAGCCAGAGCTCAGTAAAGTGGAGAGTCAAGAAATGAGTATTCAGCTGGGCGCGGTGGCTCACGCCTGTAATCCCAGCACTTAAGGAGGCTGAGGTGGGCGAATCACCAGGTCAAGAGATTGAGACCATCCTGGTCAACATGGTGAAACCCCGTCTCTACTAAATATACAGAAATTAGCTGGGCGTGGTCGCCTGTAGTCCTAGCTACTCAGGAGGCTGAGGCAGGAGAATCTTTTGAACCCAGGAGTCGGAGGTTGCAGTGAGTCGAGATCGCGCCACTGCACTCCAGCCTGGCAACAGAGCGAGACTCCGTCTCAAAAAAAAAAAAGGACTATTCAAGGGGTTTGTTCAGTTGTAGTCACTCCAGAGTAGTAGGATGTAAACCAGAAACCTGCAGGTTGGGACTTCATTGTGGAGAACCTTTAATACCCTTCTGAGGAGTCTGTTAGCCTCTTGGGGCTGAGGCCAGGGGTGGCAGTGATTTGCAGTCTGAGGGAAGAGGCTGGTTGGGGGTGTGATTCCATCTGGGACAGAGATGTCTGCTCTCTCCATGGCTAGCTTGGAGCCTCTCCTGGTCTCACCCACAGGCCTGGAAGAATGCAACTCTGGCCGAGCAGGCTAAGCTGCCCGCCACAGAGAAGCCTGTGTTGCTCTCAAAAGACATTGAAGCTAAGATGATGGCCCTGGACCGAGAGGTGCAGTATCTGCTCAATAAGGCCAAGTTTACCAAGCCCCGGCCCCGGCCTAAGGACAAGAATGGGACCCGGGCAGAGCCACCCCTCAATGCCAGTGCCAGTGACCAGGGGGAGAAGGTCATCCCTCCAGCAGGTGAGAACAGGGTACCTGGCTGCATGTTCTGCTGGACAGGGAGACAGCCTCCTTTCCTTCCTGAGGCTATGTCTTACCCCTGGTTTCCTTCTAGGCCAGACTGAAGATGCAGAGCCCATTTCAGAACCTGAGAAAGTAGAGACTGGTGAGTTGGAGCAACCATGGTTGAGCACGTGGATGTTGCATTAGCCCAGGGGTAGGCAAACTGGCAGGCACAGCCTGTTTCTAGACAGCCCATGAGCTTGAATGGCCTTTGCGTTTTTAAAGGGTTGTTTAAAAAAAAAAAAAAAAAAAAAGGCCAGGCACGGTGGCTCACGCCTGTAATCCCAGCAGTTTGGAAGGCTGAGGCGGGTAGATCACCTGAGGTCAGGAGTTCGAGACCAGCCTGGCCAACATGGTGAAACCCCATCTTTACTAAAAAAATACCAAAAAAAAGAGTCAGGCGTGGTGGCGCACACCTTTAATCCCAGCTACTCAGGAGGCTGAGGCAGGAGAACACTTGAACCTGGGAGGCAGAGGTTGCAGTAAGCCAAGATGGCGCCACTGCACTCTGCACTCCAGCCTGGGCAACAGAGACTCTGTCTCAAAAAACAGAGTAGGCAAAGAGACCAAATGTGGTACATGCATCCTAAAATATTTACTAGCTGGCTCTTCATGGAAAAACTGGCCCAGCCTTCCCTTAGCCTCTTCCTCCCTTCTGAGGAGACTAACCTGTTTCTTCCCAAAGCAGGATCCGAGCCAGGAGACACTGAGCCTTTGGAGTTAGGAGGTCCTGGAGCAGGTGAGGATGGAGCCGGGGCTACGGTGGGAAGCCTGGTGGGGTCTCAGGAAATCCTTTGCAAAGAACTGGGGTTGGTTCCTCTGTTTCACCTGCGGTGATTCCTTTGCTCCCCCAAACTCCCAACAGAACCTGAACAGAAAGAACAATCGACAGGACAGAAGCGGCCTTTGAAGAACGACGAACTATAACCCCCACCTCTGTTTTCCCCATTCATCTCCACCCCCTTCCCCCACCACTTCTATTTATTTAACATCGAGGGTTGGGGGAGGGGTTGGTCCTGCCCTCGGCTGGAGTTCCTTTCTCACCCCTGTGATTTGGAGGTGTGGAGAAGGGGAAGGGAGGGACAGCTCACTGGTTCCTTCTGCAGTACCTCTGTGGTTAAAAATGGAAACTGTTCTCCTCCCCAGCCCCACTCCCTGTTCCCTACCCATATAGGCCCTAAATTTGGGAAAAATCACTATTAATTTCTGAATCCTTTGCCTGTGGGTAGGAAGAGAATGGCTGCCAGTGGCTGATGGGTCCCGGTGATGGGAAGGGTATCAGGTTGCTGGGGAGTTTCCACTCTTCTCTGGTGATTGTTCCTTCCCTCCCTTCCTCTCCCACCATGCGATGAGCATCCTTTCAGGCCAGTGTCTGCAGAGCCTCAGTTACCAGGTTTGGTTTCTGAGTGCCTATCTGTGCTCTTTCCTCCCTCTGCGGGCTTCTCTTGCTCTGAGCCTCCCTTCCCCATTCCCATCCAGCTCCTTTCCCCCTGGGTTTCCTTGGCTTCCTGCAGCAAATTGGGCAGTTCTCTGCCCCTTGCCTAAAAGCCTGTACCTCTGGATTGGCGGAAGTAAATCTGGAAGGATTCTCACTCGTATTTCCCACCCCTAGTGGCCAGAGGAGGGAGGGGCACAGTGAAGAAGGGAGCCCACCACCTCTCCGAAGAGGAAAGCCACGTAGAGTGGTTGGCATGGGGTGCCAGCATCGTGCAAGCTCTGTCATAATCTGCATCTTCCCAGCAGCCTGGTACCCCAGGTTCCTGTAACTCCCTGCCTCCTCCTCTCTTCTGCTGTTCTGCTCCTCCCAGACAGAGCCTTTCCCTCACCCCCTGACCCCCTGGGCTGACCAAAATGTGCTTTCTACTGTGAGTCCCTATCCCAAGATCCTGGGGAAAGGAGAGACCATGGTGTGAATGTAGAGATGCCACCTCCCTCTCTCTGAGGCAGGCCTGTGGATGAAGGAGGAGGGTCAGGGCTGGCCTTCCTCTGTGCATCACTCTGCTAGGTTGGGGGCCCCCGACCCACCATACCTACGCCTAGGGAGCCCGTCCTCCAGTATTCCGTCTGTAGCAGGAGCTAGGGCTGCTGCCTCAGCTCCAAGACAAGAATGAACCTGGCTGTGTCAGTCATTTTGTCTTTTCCTTTTTTTTTTTTTTTTGCCACATTGGCAGAGATGGGACCTAAGGGTCCCACCCCTCACCCCACCCCCACCTCTTCTGTATGTTTGAATTCTTTCAGTAGCTGTTGATGCTGGTTGGACAGGTTTGAGTCAAATTGTACTTTGCTCCATTGTTAATTGAGAAACTGTTTCAATAAAATATTCTTTTCTACAGTTTTTGTGCTGTGAGTTTTTAAAAATAGAAAAATTTTGGGCCAGGCATGGTGGCTCATACCTGTCATCTTAACATTTTGGGAGGCCAAGATGGGAGGATAGCTTGAGGTCGGACCAGCCTGGGCAACAGCAAGACTCTGTCTCAAAAAAAAAAAAAAAAAGTATCTGAGTGTGGGGATGTGTGCCTGTAGACCCAGCTACTTGGGAGACTGAGGCTGGAGGGTGGGTCCCTTGGGCCCAGGACTTCGAGGCTTCAGTGAGCTATGATCGTGCCACTGCACTCCAGCATGTGTGACAGTGAAAACCTCAAAAAGTTTGAATAATTACATCATCAAAATGTTATTGACACTTTGGACTTAGTTGAGATTTGTATATGTATTTTTTTCAAGGAAACAAAATACTGGTTTTATTTTACTGCTAACATTATTTGGACTCCTATATCCCAGGCATTTTTAAGTAACGTACTTTTTTTTTTTTTTTTTCTTTGAGACTGGGTCCTGCTCTGTTGCCCAGGCTGGAGTATAGTAATGCGATCCAGGCTCACTGCAACCTCCGCCTCCCGGGTTCAAGTGATTCTACTGCCCCAGCCTCCTGAGTAGCTGGGATTACAGGCACCTGCCACCATACCCAGCTAAATTTTTTTTGTATTTTAGTAGAGACGGGGTTTCACCATGTTGGCTAAGCTGGTCTGGAACTGACCTGAAGCGATCCACCTGCCTTGGGCTCCCAAAGTGCTGGGTTTACAGGCCTGAGCCACTGGGCCCAGCTGGTAACATTAATTTTTAAAATAGCAACCTCATTGTACAAATAAGATACCAGTTCATAGAGATTTAGCAAGTAATTGGTCCAAGGAATGAATCAATGTTGAGTGCTTCAGCTAGGTTTGAGCTTAATTCTGACCATTCGCCCTTGTTCTTCGTACTTAGCCGTGGGAATGTGTTGGTAGAGACCATTTGTAGCAGTTTCGGTTCATCAGTTTGGGATGCAGCATGCCTAGCCCAAATTTTCTATTACCAAGGGAGGATCCCTCTTGTCACTAATCATGTACATATCTAAGCAGTTGTATACGGTATACAGGGTGTTGCTCTGTCACCCAGGCTGGAGTGCAATGGTGCCATCTTGGCCCACTGCAGCCGCGACCTCCCAGGCTCAAGCAATCCTCCCACCTCAGCCCTGTAGCAGGGACTACCTGGCTAATTTTTGTATTTTCTGGTCGAGACGGGGTTTCACTATGTTGCTCAGGCTGGTCTTGAACTCCTGGACTCAAATGATCTGCTTGCCTTGGCCTCCCAAAGTGCTGGGATTACAGGTATGAGCCACTGAGCTTGGCCCCGTTGTATTTACATTTAATAACCATGAAGGCCCAGCCGGGTGTAGTAGCTCACGCCTGTAGTCCTAGCACTTTGGGAGGCCAAGGCAGGCGGATCATGAGGTCAGGAGATCCGAGACCATCCTGGCTAACACAGTGAAACTCCGTCTCTACTAAAAATACAAAAAATCAGCCGGACATGGTGGCACCCGCCTGTAGTCCCAGCTACTCAGGAGGCTGAGACAGGAAAATCAATTGAACCCGGGAGGATGAGGTTGCAGTGAGCTGAGATCGTGCCACTGCACTCCAGCCTGGGCGACAGCTAGACTCTGTCACACACAAAAAAAATAACCACGAAGGGTTGTCTTTTTTCTCTAAAAGTTGAACAAGTCAGATAAGTTTTGAATGTGGAAGTTTTGGGTTTTTGTTTTTTTTTTTTTGGATGACTTTTAGACAGTTTCAGATTCACAGCAGAATTGAGCAGGAGGTACAGAGTTGCCATATACCTCCTGTCCCCACATACTCAATCTCCCCCAGAGTGGTACATTTGTTACAATCACCCAAAGTTCTGTATGACACCATAATGGTGGGTACATATACATTTGTCAAAACCTATAGAATGTGCAACACCAAGACAACTGAAAGTGTAGACTTTGGGCAAATATGATGAGTCAGTGTAGGTTCCTCAGATGTAACACCTGTAGACCTCTGGTGTGAAGTGTTTATTATGGGGGAAGCTGTGAGTGTATGGAGGAAGGGAATATACGGGAACTCTGTATTTTCCCCTCAATTTTGCTGTGAACCTAAAAGTGCTCTAAAAAAAAAAGGCGAAGCTAAGTGCAGTGACTCATGGCTGTAATACCAGTGTTTGGGGAGGCAGGAGTGGAAGGATCGCTTGAGGCCAGGAGTTTGAGACAACATAGCCAGACCTCATCTCTACAAAAAATAGTAGTCCTAGCTACTCAGGAGGCAGAGGCAGGAGGATCACTTGAAACTAGGAGTTCAAAGCTGCAGTAGATTATGATCGCACCACTGCACTGCAGCCTGGGAGGGAGAGACCCCGACTCAAAAAAAAAAAAAAAAGGCCCGGCGCGCCTTGCCTCAAGCCTGTAATCCCAACACTTTGGGCGGCCGAGGCAGGCGGATCACCTGAAGTCAACAGTTTGAGACCAGCCTGGGCGACAAGAGCGAAACTCTGTCTCAAAAAAAAAAAGGGTGGGGAGGTGGGGGGCAGGCACGGTGGCTCGGGCTAGTAATCCCAGCACCTTGGGAGGCTGAGGCAGGCAGATCACAAGGTCAGAAGTTTGAGACTAGCCTGGCTAACACAGTGAAACCCTGTCTGTACTAAAAATACAAAAATTAGCTTGGCGTGGTGGTGGGCACCTGTAATCCCAGCTACTCAGGAGGCCGAGGAAGGAGAATCACTTGAACCCAGGAGACAGAGGTTGCAGTGCGCCAAGACTGGGCCACGGCACTCCAACCTGGCAACAGAGCAAGACTCCGTCTCAAAAAAAAAAAAAAAAAAAAAAAAAAATCGGGACTAGATGGCTTCACTGGTGAATTCTACCAAATATTTTTAAAATATTTATTTTGGCCAGGGATGGTGGCTCACATCTGTAATCCTAGCACTTTGGGAAGCCGAGGTGAGTGGATTGCCTGAGCTCTGAAGTTTGAGACCACCCTGGGCAACATGGCGAAACACCATGTCTACTAAAATACAAAAAATTAGCCGGGTGTGGTGGTGTGTGCCCGTAGTCCCAGCTACTTAGGAGGCTGAGGCTTGAGAATTACTTGAACCCAGGAGGCAGAAGTTGCAGTGAGCTGAGGTCATGCCACTGCACTCCAGCCTGGGCAACAGAGCGAGACTCTGCCTCAAAAATAAAAATAAAAAATAGCCAGGCCCGGCCGGGCGCAGTGGCTCACACCTGTAATCCCAGCACTTTGGGAGGCCGAGGCGGGCGGATCACCTGAAGTCAGCAGTTCGAGACCAGCCTGGCCAACATGGTGAAACCCAGTCTCTACTAAAAAATACAAAAATTAGCCGGGCTTGGTGGCAGGCGATTTAATCCCAGCTATTTGGGAAGCAGAGGCAGGAGAATCATTTGAACCTGGGAGGCAGAGGTTGCAGTGAGTGGAGATCAAGCCATTGCACTCAAACCTGGGGGATAAGAGCAAGACTTCTCTCAAAAAAAACAAATAGCCAGGCCCAGTGGCTCACGCCTGTAATCCCAGTCAGGATACCTCAGGTCAAGACCAGCCTGGCCAACATGGCAAAACCCCATTTCTACTAAAAATACAAAAAATAGCTGGGCGTAGTGGGGCTGGGCGCAGTGGCTCATGCCTGAAATCCTAGCACTTTGGGAGGCCGAGGCAGGCAGATCACCAGGTCAGGAGATCGAGACCATCCTGTCTAACACGGTGAAACCCCATCTCTACTAAAAATACAAAAAAATTAGCCGGGCATGGTGGCAGGTGCCTGTAGTCCCAGCTACTTGGGAAGGTGAGGCAGGAGAATGGCATGAACTCGGGAGGCGGAGCTTGCAGCAAGCGGAGATCACTCACTGCACTCCAGCCTGGGTGACAGAGCAAGACTCCATCTCAAAAAAAAAAAAAAAATCCTCCTGCCTGTGCCTCCCAGTGTTGGGATTACAAGCATGAGCCATCCTGTTCAGCCAGGGGCTAATTTTGAAACAAGCCAGGAATAAAGACCCAGCTACCTGTGGGGAAAAGAAAGAGAGATCAGATTGGTAATGTGTCTGTATAGAAAGTAGACATAAGAGACTCCATTTTAATCTGTAACCCCACCCCCAACCCTGTGCTCCCTGAGACATGTGCTGTGTCAACTCAGGGTTAAATGGATTAAGGGCTGTGCAAGATGTGCTTTGCTAAACAAATGCTTGAAGGAATCTCAAGTACCCAGGGACACAAAACACTGCGGAAGGCCGCAGGGACCCCTGCCTAGGAAAGCCAGGTACTGTCCAAGGTTTCTCCCCATGTGATAGCCTGAGATATGGCCTCGTGGGAAGGGAAAGACCTGACCGTCCCCCAGCCCGACACCCGTAAAGGGTCTGTGCTGAGGAGGATTAGTAAAAGAGGAAGGAACGCCTCGTTGCAGTTGAGACAAGAGGAAGGCATCTGTCTCCTGCTCGTCCCTGGGCAATGGAATGTCTCGATGTAAAACCCGATTGTATATTCCATCTACTGAGATAGGGGGAAACTGCCTTAGGGCTGCAGGTGGGACATGCGGGCAGCAATACTGCTCTGTAAGGCATTGAGATGTTTATGTGTATACATATCTAAAGCACAGCACTTAATTCTTTACCTTGTTTATGATGCAGAGAACTTTGTTCACGTGTTTACCTGCTGACCTTCTCTCCACTATTATCTTATGATCCTGCCACATCCCCCTCTCCGAGAAACACCCAATAATGATCAATAAATACTAAGGGAACTCAGAGGCCGGCGGGATCCTCCATATGCTGAGCGCCGGTCCCCTGGTCCCCCGATTTCTTTCTCTGTACTTTGTCTGTGTCTCTTTCTTTTCCAAGTCTCTCGTTCCACCTAACAAGGAACACCCACAGGTGTGGAGGAGCAACCCACCCCTTCAGCTACCGAATCCTCCTGTTTAGGGGGAGTCACGACCAATTAATCCAAAACCACCAGGTAGAAGTCAAGATGATGCCAACTGGGCTTCCAGACAAGAAATTACTCAAGAGAGCTATCGGAACAAGACACATAGATACCCTCCTGTACCACTCCCATATGTTTCCCATGCCAAGTTTTTCTTATGAAATCTCTTCACTGAGCCCAAAAAGCTGGAACAGTCTTTTAAAGGCATGAGTCTGGCCATATCTCAACTGTTAGCATTTGATTAATAAAACTGCTCTCTGTAGGCCGGGGGCAGTGGTTCACATCTGTAATCCCAGCACTTTCGGAGGCCAAAGTGGGTGGATCACTTGAGGCCAGGAGTTTGAGACCAGCCTGGCCAACATGGCAAAACTCTGTCTCTACTAAAAATACACAAATTGGCTGGGCGCAGTAGCTCACACCTGTAATCCCAACACTTTGGGAGGCCGAGGCGGGCGGATTACCTGAGGTCAGGAGTTCAAGACCAGTCTGGCCAATATGGTGAAACCCCATCTCTACTAAAAATACAAAAATTAGCCGGGTGTGGTGGCACACGCCTGTAATCCCAGCTACATGGGAGGCTGAGGCAAGAGAATCACTTGAACCCAGGAGGAGGAGGTTGCAGTGAGCCAAGATCTCGCCACTGCACTCCAGCCTGGCAACAGAGCCAGACTCTGTCTCAAAATAAATAAATAAATAAATAAATAAATAAATAAATAAATAAATGAAAAGAAAAAAGAAAAAAAAAGAAAACTAGTGTTGATGAGGCTGTAGAGGAATTAAAACTCTCACATGGCTGGGCGTGGTTGCTCACGCCTGTAATCCCAGCACTATGGGAGGCTGAGGCGAGAGGATTACTTGAGCCCAAGAGCTCGAGACCAGTCTGGGCAACAATAGTGAGACCCCCATCTCTACAAAAAATAAAAATAAAAAATTAGCCAAGCATGGCAGCTGGGATTATTCTGGTGGTTACTCTTTAATGATTAAGACCTATTCTTATGTTTATTTTTCTGTCAATTCCTTAAGCTTTCAAAATTTATATTATCCCCCTTTACCAAGTAAATTCCTCAGTGTTAATTTATCAAGTTACCTCTCCCATGTTGATACCATCTCTAATTTTCTTTTTTTTTTTTTTTTGAGACGGAGTTTCGCTCTTGTTGCCCAGGCTGGAGTGCAATGGTGTGATCTTGGCTCACCGCAACCTCCGCCTCCCAGGTTCAAGCAATTCTCCTACCTCAGCCTCCCGAGTAGCTGGGATTACAGGCATGCACCAGCATACCTGGCTAATTTTGTATTTTTAGTAGAGACGGGGTTTCACTGTGTTAGCCAGGATGGTCTCGATCTCCTGACCTCGTGATCCACCCACTTCGGCCTTCCAAAGTGCTAGGATTACAGGCGTGAGCCTCCGCGCCCGGCCTAATTTTCTTTCTTTTCTTTTTTTTTTTTTTTGAGACGGAGTCTCACTCTGTCGTCCAGGCTTTAGTGCAGTGGCGCGATCTTGGCTCACTGCAAGCTCCGCCTCCCAGGTTCATGCCATTCTTCTGCCTCAGCCTCCCGAGTAGCTGGGATTACAGGTGCCTGCCACCAAGCCCGGCTAATTTTTTTTTTTTTGTATTTTTAGTAGAGACGGGGTTTCACCGTGTTAGCCAGGATGTTCTCGATCTCCTGACCTCGTGATCCACCTGCCTCAGCCTCCCAAAGTGCTGGGATTACAGGCGTGAGCCACCACGCCTAGCAGTTTTATTTTCTTAAATGACATTTTCTTTTTTCTTTTCTTTCTTTTTTTTTTTTTTTTGAGATGAAGTCTCGCTCTTGTCCCCCAGGCTGGAGTGCAATGCTGCGATCTCGGCTTACTGCAACCTCCGCCTCCCAGGTCCAAGCGATTCTCCTGCCTCAGCCCCCAAGTAGCTGGGATTACAGGCACCTGCCACCACACTCGGCTAATTTTTGTATTTTTAGTAGAAATGAGGTTTCACCGTGTTGGCTGGGCTGATCTCAAACTCCTGACGTCAGGTGATCTGCCTGCCTTGGCCTCCCAAAGTGCTGGGATTACAGGCGTGAGCCACTACGCCCAGCCTCTTTATTTATTTATTTATTTTTTTGAGACGGAGTCTCTCTCTGTCGCCCAGGCTGGAGTGCAGTGGTGCAATCTCAGCTCACTGCAACTTCCACCTCCTGAGTTTGAGTGATTCCCCTGCCTCAGCCTCCTAAGTAGCTAGGACTACAGGCATGTGCCATCACGCTCAACTAATTTTTGTAATTTTAGTAGAGACAGAGTTTCACCATGTTGGTCAGGCTGGTCTTGAACTCCTGACCTCAGGTGATCTGCCCTCCTCAGCCTCCCAAAGTGCTGGAATTACAGGCGTGAACCACTGTGCCAGGTCTTAAATGGCATTTTTAAATCTATCTGGGATTTATTTTGTGTGGAGTGTGCAATAGAGATCTAAGTTGATTTTTTCTAAATACCTAGAACAATTTATTCATTTATCTATTTATTATTTATTTATTTTGAGGCAGGGTCTCACTCTGTCACCCAGGAGGGAGTGCAGTGGCGTGATCACAGCTCATTGCAGCCTCAACCTTTTCGGCTCAAGCAATTCTCCTGCCTTGGCCTTCCAAAGTGTTTCAATTACAGGCATGAGCCACTGTGCCTGGCATTATTTATTAGTTAATCCACTCCACTCTATTGATTTGGGATGGCTTCCTTTTTTTTTTTTTTTTTTTTTACTTTTTTGGAGACAAGGTCTCACTCGGTTGCCCAGGCAGGAGTGCAGTAGCACAATCACTGCTCAGTGCAACCTTGACCACCCAGACTTAAGCAATCCTCCCACCTCAGCCTCCTGAGTAGCTGGGACTATCAGCATGAGCCACCATGCCTGGTTAATTAAAAAAAAAATTATTTATTTATTTTAAATTTTGAGACGGAGTCTTGCTCTGTCACCCAGGCTCAAGTGCAGTGGCATGATCTCAGCTCACTGCAACCCCCGCCTCCCTGGTTCAAGTGATTCTCCTGCCTCAGCCTCCCTAGTAGCTGGAATTACAGGTGTGTGCCACCATGCCCGCCTAATTTTTGTGTTTTTTTTTTTGAGACTGAGTCTCACCCTGTTGCCCAGGCTGGAGTGCAATGGTGCCATCTTGGCTCACTGCAACCTCTGCCTTTCAGGTTCAAGCGATTCTCCTCCCTCAGCCTCCTGAATAGCTGTGATTACAGGTGCACGCCTCCACGCCTGGCTAATTTTTGTATTTTTAGTAGACGGGGTTTCACCATGTTGGCCAGGCTGGTCTGGAACTCCTGACCTCGTGATCCACCCACCTCGGCCTCCCAAAGTGCTGGGATTATAAGCGTGAGCCACTGCACCCGTCCAGGAGTGTCATTTTTTTTAATTAAAAAAAATTTTTCTTTTGAAACACGGTCTTGCTTTCACCCAGGCTAGAGTACAGTAGTGCGATCATAGCTTACTGCAGCCTTGACCTTCCTGCCTCAAGCAATCCTGCCACCTCAGTCTCCCAATTAGCTGGGACCACAGGTACATGCCACCACACCTGGCTAATTTTTACTTTTATTTATTTATTTATTATTTTGAGATGGAGTCTCGCTCTGTGGCCCAGGCTGGAGTGCAGTGGCGCGATCTTGGCTCACTGCAACCTCCGCCTCCCGGGTTCATTCGATTCTCCTGCCTCAGCCTCAGGAGTATCTGGGATTAAAGGCACATGCCACCACGCCCAGCTAATTTTGGTATTTTTAGTAGAGACTGGGTTTCATCATGTTGGCCAGGCTGGTCTCGAACTCCTGACCTCAGGTGATCTGCCTGCCTCAGCCTTCCAAAGTGCTGGCATTACAGGCATGAGCCACTGCACCCGACCCTGGCTAATTTTTTATATTTTTGTAGAGATGGCGGGGGGTTCTCCCTATGTTGCCCAGGCTGGTCTTGAACTCCTGGACTCAATCAACCCTCTCACCTCAGCCTTCCAAAGTGGTTGAATTACAGCATAAGCCACTGCACCTGTGCAGGATGTCCCTTTTATCATAGTTAAAATCATACATGAGATAAAAAATTTTTTTGAAACAAGGTCTTTCTTGTAGCCTAGGCTGGAGTGCAGTGCTACAATCATAGCTCACTGAGGCCTTGAACTCCTAGGCTCAAGGTCTCTTCCCGTCTAAGCCCCTGAGTAGATAGGACTAGAGGCACATGCCACCACACCTGGCTAATTTCTAAATTTTTTGTAGCAATGGGGTCTCACTACGTTGCCCAGGCTGGTCTCAAACTCCTGACCTCAAGCCATCCTTCCAAAGTGTTGGGATTGTAAGCATGAGCCACTGGGCCCAACCTCGGATGATATTTAAAATAATGTTGTCCATTCATTTCTATGGCTTCTGAAAAAAAAATAAAAACTTTGTCCAGTTTCCAACAAATTCTGTTGGGATATAGATTGGGATGGTTTTAAAATGCCAAATGAATTTTGAATGGATTGACATTTGGACAGTATCAAAGTCATAGCTTGTTTTTCAGGCATGTAGTATGATTTACGTTTGTTCAAATTACCTTTTATTATCCCTTAGTAAAGTCTTTGTACTGTATTGGGATGTCATCTTCTCATTTCTTTTTCTTTTCTTTCTTTCTTTCTTTTTTTTTTTTTTTGAGACGGAGTCTCACTCTGTCACCTAGGCTGGAGTGCAATGGCGCCATCTCAGCTCACTGCAACTTCTGCCTCCCAGGTTCAAGTGATTCTCCTGCCTCAGCCTCCTGATTAGCTGGGATTACAGGTGTACACCACCACACCCGGCTAATTTTTGTATTTTTAGTAGAGACAGGGTTTCACCATGTTGGTCAGGCTGGTCTCGAACTCCTGACCTCATGATCCGCGCGCCTCAGCCTCGCAAAGTGCTGGGATTACGGGAGTAAGCCACCATGCCCGGCCTATCTTCTCATTTCTTAACATTCTTTGGAAATACAGTGAGCAAACTAGCATTTGAGTCCCTACTATCCTGATCATAAAGTGCTTTAAAATGTTTTTCCATTTAATTCCCACTGACTGGGTGCGATGGATCATGCTTGTAATCGCCGCACTTTGGGAGCCTGAGGCAGGTGGATAACCTAAACTCAGGAGTTTGAGACTAGCCTGGCCAACATGGCGAAACCCCCTCTGTACGCCGGGTGCGGTGGCTCACGCTTGTAATCTAGCACTTTGGGAGGCCGAGGCGGGTGGATCACGAGGTCAGGATCGAGACCATCCTGGCTAACACAGTGAAACCCCGTCTCTACTAAAAATACAAAAAATTAGCTGACCGTGGTGGCGGGTGTCTGTAGTCCCAGCTACTCGGGAGGCTGAGGCAGGAGAATGGCATGAACCTGGGAGGCGGAGCTTGCAGTGAGCCCAGATGGTGCCACTGCACTCCAGCCTGGGCGAGAGAGCGAGACTCTGTCTCAAAAAAAAAAAAAAAAAAAAGAAAGAAAAAGAAAAAAAGAAAGAAAGAAACCCTGTCTGTACTAAAAATACAAAAATTAGCCAGGCGTGTTTGCGGGCACCTATAATACCAACTACTCAGGAAGCTGAGGCAGAAGAATCGCTTGAACCCAGGTGGCCTGGTCCTGTAGTCTTAGCTACTTGGGAGGATCGCTCAATGCTCAGGAATTTGAGGTTAGAGTGAGCTAAGATACCATTGCACTCCAGCCTGGGCAACAGAGCAAGCCTGTCTCAAAAACAAACAAACAAACAAACAAACAAACAAAAAAAACAGACCGGGCGCAGTGGCTCACGCCTGTAATCCTAGCACTTTGGGAGACCGAGGTGGGCGGATTACCTGAGGTCAGGAGTTCGAGACCAGCCTGGCCAATAGGGTGAAACCCTGTCTCTACTAAAAATACAAAAATTAGCTGGGCGTGGTGGCACATGCTTGTAATCCCAGCTACTCAGGAGGCTCAGGCAGGAGAATGGCTTGAGCCCAGGAGGCAGAGGTTGCAGTGAGCCGAGATCCTGCCACTGCACTTCAGCCTGGCCGACAGAGCAAGACTCTGTCTCAAAAACAAACAAACAAACAAATAAACACCATCGACCAGGCACAGTGGCTCATGCCTGTAATTCCAGGATATTGGAAGACCAAGGCAGGTGGATCCCTTGAGCTCAGGATTTCGAGGCCAGCCTGGCCAATATGGTGAAACTCTTGTCTCTACAAAAAATAGAAAAATTAACCGGGTTGGCTGGGTGCAGTTGTTCATGCCTGTAATCCCAGCACTTTGGGAGGCCAAGGGGGGCAGATCACCTGAAGTCAGGAGTTTGAGACCAGCCTGACCAACATGGAGAAACCCTACCCCTACTAAAATTACAAAATTAGCTGGGCATGGTGGGGCATGCCTGTAATCCCAGCTACTCGGGAGGCTGAGGCAGGAGAATCGCTTGAACCCCAGAGAAGGAGGTTGCAGTGAGCTGAGATCACTCCACTTCCAAAACAAAACGATAGGGCTGTTAATTTAGGTGGTGGTTACACGGGTATTAACATGTGTAAAAAATCACTGAGTTGTACATGTAAGATTCCTGCACTTTTTGTATTTTATTATGTGTATGTTAAATCTTAAAAATAAAAGCGGAGAAAAACCTGATGGCTTCCTACTCCTCTATTAGGTAAAGTAAGAATCTGCTCTGGTTTGGTTTCGGAGGAACTGTTTCCTGGTCCTTGGATCTACCTGGCTGAAAGCACAGTGCCTGGTACAAACTAGGCTCCTCCCCGATTTTGAATTAACGAAGTTCAGTGACATCGTCATCCTATTTTTTTTTTTTTTTTTTTGAGACAGGCTCTCGCTCTGTCACCCAGGCTGGAGTGCAGTGGCACGATCTCGGCTCACTGCAACCTCTGCTTCCCAGGTCCAAGAAATTCTCCTGCCTCAGCCTCCCCAGTAACTGGGATTACAGGCGTGTGCCACCAAGCCTGGCTAATTTTGGTATTTTTAGTAGAGACAGGGTTTCACCATGTTGGCCAGGCTGGTCTCGAACTCCTGACTTCAAGTGATCTGCCCGCCTTGGCCTCCCAATGTGCTGGGATTACAAGCATGAGCCATCGCGTCCGGCCTGTCATCCTATTTTATCTCATCTCCTCCTCCTCCCTTCCCTGACCATCTTCTCTGGAGTAAAAGATCTTTGCTCTCAATTTTGGAACACTTACAATTCCTTCAGCCACTCTTGTTAGGAAGATATAAGGGAAGAGAGCGAGAGACAGGAGGCAACTCAACGGCCAAACAGGTTTATTCACAGGAATAAGCCTGCAAGGAGTTCCAGTCAGGAGTCTGGCTGAGACCCTGATCGCTTACAAGCTGAGGCTTTTATAATATCGTTTCTATTGGGGAGAGGTCGGGAAGTGCTGGCTGATTGGGACTGTTGGGGACTTTGTTAGGCTATGTTACCTTCTGTTGAAGCTATGGGCAGGGTTAACATTTGCTCTGTTTCTGAGAACACAGTCATCATTGTTGTAAAATAGCATCACTACTGTTACTCCTCACAACTCTTAACTGGGATCAGTGAAAACCATTGTTGTTGAGAACTCTTATAGAATTTCTGAGCTCTTATCTAAATCATCTGTTGAGTCTTCACAATGATCTACCAGGCTGGTAGGAAACGGGAGCTCATAGAGATTAACCAAGGTCATACAGTTAGAATGCTGTGGGTCTAGGACTAGAATTTGATATTTACTCCAGGCCCCGTCTCTGTCCCCAACAATCTAACCACAAGTTAAAATTCCAAATTGTGGGCTGGGCGCGGTGGCTCACGCCTGTAATCCCAGCACTTTGGGAGGCCGAGGTGAGCGGATCACGAGGTCAGGAGATCGAGACCATCCTGGCAAACACGGTGAAACCCCGTCTCTACTAAAAATACAAAAAATTACCCGGGCGTGGTGGTGGGCGCCCGTAGTCCCAGCTACTCGGGAGGCTGAGGCAGGAGAATGGTGTGAACCCGGGAGGAGGAGCTTGCAGTGAGCCGAAATCGCGCCACTGCACTCCAGCCTGGGCGACTGAGCGAGACTGTTTCAAAAAAAAAAAAAAAGAAAAAAAGAAAATACTGTGTGTTCCTACAACACCTTTCCCAGACTGTGAGCAACTTGGGAACAATGATTATCACCTTAGTGTTCGGTGTGTTTTGTAGAGGAGGGCACTCACTAAAAACTGGTTTGTTGAATGCAACCACTTAAGAATTGGACATGCCGTGCCCAGCCCCTAAGGGGCGCTATGCTCGTTCGTCCAAGGAGCAGCGTGACCAGCGGGAGGGAGTAAGTCGACGTCCCCGGCATGTGGGGCGGGGAACTCCACTGGCCGGCAAGCGAAGCAGCAGGCGAAGACCACGCCCCCGCCGGCCGCGCTTGCGCAGCCTTCGCTAGCCCCGCCCCGTCCTATTCGGGCTCCCGCCTCTGTTCAGGTAGGAGGCGGTATGCGGGGGAGGGGAGTCACCTGAGGGCGGGGATCTCAGGTCTTGGGGAGCCATTGTTGGCGAACCCCAACTTCCGATACGACCCGGAGCTGTTCCTGCAGTTCCAGAGACAATTCATGGGTCTTGGGGCCACCGAGGCGCTGTCCCTGACCACCAGCACGAGACCCCTTTCTATCGCGCCAGTCCTGTGGTCTCCGCACCTCTCCAGCTCCTGCACCCCCGGCCCCCGTGGTTCCCAGCCGCACAGTAGCGTGTCCTGGGTAGCGTGAGGACCCACGGGGCTGGGCAGGTGCCACGAGCCCGCCGCCTCTTCGCCGCCCGCCGCCTCTCCTCCTCTCCCGCCCGCCGCCTGGCCCTCCCCTACCAGGCTGAGCCTCTGGGTGCCAGAAGCGCGGGGCCTCCGGGAGAATACGTGCGGTCGCCCGCTCCGCGTGCGCCTACGCCTTCTGCTCCAGTTGCTTTCCCAATTGAGCGGAAAAGCCGGGGCATGTTGCCGGGGCCCTGGGCGGGACGGTTGTGCCCTGCAGCCCGAAGCCCGCCGGGGCACCTTCCCGCCCACGAGCTGCCCAGTCCCTCTGCTTGCGGCCCCTGCCAACGTCCCACAGGTTGGAAACCAGACCCTGCAGCCCCCAGCTAGCCCGAAGGAAGCCCAGACTGACGTCGCAGGGTAATGGGGACCCAGAGGTAGCTCTGTGGGGCCCCATCAGGACCTCAGCCCTTAGCGGGGCTTTCTGTGTGACACCGTGGGACCTGAACTGGGGAGGTCCCCCTTGCACAGAATTACAAGGGGCAACTGTAGGAAACAATTAAATCTATTATGTGCTAAGTATTGAGAGTTCCACGGATTGAGGCCCTCTCTAGAAGGCTTAGAAGTGGGGTAGCCGGGGTATGTGTCTGACTTTGTGTTTTGGTGCGGTGGTGGTGAGTGGGTGTAGAAACTAATAGTGCCAAGTGCAGTGCCTGTCAACTAGTAAGTTAATAAACCTTCCGTGAATGAATGAGAAGGTTCTGTGACTGAGGGAGCAGGGCTAGAGAGGGCATCTCTGCTCATCCCACCCCTGCCTCCCCTGGGCTCAGGCAGACAAAAGTAATTAGGTTGAACCTTTAATCAAAGCTGGTTTCACAGGCAAGCAGACATGATAGAGGAGGTAAAGGCAGAAATCCTGGGGACACAGGGTGCTGGCCTGGCTCACAGGCATGCCTCCTTCCGGGACCTCCTCCACCCCCTACAGTTTGGCGCTCAGTAATCTCTTGTTTTCTTGTCTCCCTCAGGACACTGGGTCCCCTTGGAGCCTCCCCAGGCTTAATGATTGTCCAGAAGGCGGCTATAAAGGGAGCCTGGGAGGCTGGGTGGAGGAGGGAGCAGAAAAAACCCAACTCAGCAGATCTGGGAACTGTGAGAGCGGCAAGCAGGAACTGTGGTCAGAGGCTGTGCGTCTTGGCTGGTAGGGCCTGCTCTTTTCTACCATGGCAGCCCAGGGCTATGGCTATTATCGCACTGTGATCTTCTCAGCCATGTTTGGGGGCTACAGCCTGTATTACTTCAATCGCAAGACCTTCTCCTTTGTCATGCCATCATTGGTGGAAGAGATCCCTTTGGACAAGGATGATTTGGGTGAGCCCTGAAACAGCAGGGTGGTGGACCTGGGGACACAGAACCAGCCAGACACACTGGGTGTTTGTGTACAGGCATGTGGTGTGGGTGGATTGTCTGCACAGTAGAGGCCAGGGGCCAGTCTGCATATGCCAGATAAAGAAGCTCTGAGATCCATGGACATGGGTGCCTGCGGGGCTAAGGAGGGCTGCTTATTTGACGTGTGTGTGCATGCCCTGGAGGCACTGTTTATTCCGAGAGTGTTTGAGGGGCTTCTGAGCATGGTTTTCACACCTGTGTGGGTGCATGTGGAGGCTTCAGGGTGAGTGCTGGCTACTGACACTGTGAGCACTGGGAACTAAAAAGTTGGCACAACGACTTCATGTGGCCTGGCATGCTACCCTTCAGGAGGGACAAGGTCCCTGACTCCAATCCTGAGCCCTTTGCCCCATGTTGGGTGGTGGAGCAACAGAACTGCTAGAGGCCCGGGACTGGCATCCAGAGTGAGGTGGGAAATCCCATATGCAAATCCCAGGGAGGGGGAACTGCCACGTCCTGCTCCCTTTTTGTTCCCTGACAACTGTAGCTGAGAATCATGGGTCAGTCTGGGGCTAGTGCCGATGGTGAGGCAGGAGAAGTGGCCGAAGTAGTAGGGCCCCATGAGTGTCAGATTGCAGCACAGGCTCCTCCTGTTCCTCTGGGAAGTAACCTGTCTCACCCCACTGGGCACCCCTGCACACCTGACCCCATGCCTTCTTTCATTGCTCCTGTGTTTCTCCCCTGGTCCCTAACCCCTAAGTGTAATGTTCCCTGCAGGGTTCATCACCAGCAGCCAGTCGGCAGCTTATGCTATCAGCAAGTTTGTCAGTGGGGTGCTGTCTGACCAGATGAGTGCTCGCTGGCTCTTCTCTTCTGGGCTGCTCCTGGTTGGCCTGGTCAACATATTCTTTGCCTGGAGCTCCACAGTACCTGTCTTTGCTGCCCTCTGGTTCCTTAATGGCCTGGCCCAGGGGCTGGGCTGGCCCCCATGTGGGAAGGTCCTGCGGAAGGTGAGTGCTTCCAAAGAGCCTGTTTGGATTGTCATAGAGGATGCCTAAAGAGCATGTGGGAGCGCCCTTTCTTACCCACCACCTCCACACCCAACCCAGAGCAGGTTCCTGAGCAGTTCCTGGCCAGCTCCTATTGCTTGTCAAGATATTTTAGGAGGCTGAGAGTGGTGGGATCAGGTGGCAGAGGAGGAAACTGCCCTGCCAAACAGAAGCGCCCTCTCCCTCTTCCCTGTAATGTGAGCTTCTGGGGCTGCCCCATCTGACCCCACCCTCAACATGGGCAGTAGGCTGGACACCTACGTGTCGCCCTCTGCCCCACAGTGGTTTGAGCCATCTCAGTTTGGCACTTGGTGGGCCATCCTGTCAACCAGCATGAACCTGGCTGGAGGGCTGGGCCCTATCCTGGCAACCATCCTTGCCCAGAGCTACAGCTGGCGCAGCACGCTGGCCCTATCTGGGGCACTGTGTGTGGTTGTCTCCTTCCTCTGTCTCCTGCTCATCCACAATGAACCTGCTGATGTTGGACTCCGCAACCTGGACCCCATGCCCTCTGAGGGCAAGAAGGGTGAGCCCCCACCCAGACCGACCACTGGGGCACTCATTTAGCAGGCAGATGTTTGTTGAAGACTAGGCGTTTGCCCGGTCCTGTGCTGGTCAGTGGATGTGGGGGAAGAGGTGGTGATGTAGGCTGCATGGGTAGCAAACACAAATCCATCCCAAGAGGCAGTCAAGTACTGGACAAGCGGCAGAGCCAGCAAGTGCTGTGACTCGTTATTTTCTGGCCCTTCCTCACAACAGCACAGACTTCCCTGTCCTGGATAGATAGAATCATGAGCTTTAGTGGCTTGGTCCTGTTTGTCTTTCATTCATTGAGCTTGGTCCTTAAGTGGCTTGGTCCTCCCTGGTCCTGTTTCTCATTCATTGACCTTGCAGCGGAGAGGGGGAGAGGAGAGCAGTGGGGTGAGGGAATACCCTTCATGCTGATCCTGGCTGTGCAGATGGACTCTGCCCCTGTGGCTGGTTAATGAATGTTGGGGGTTCAGGTTGGGGAGAGCAGTCAGGGCAGAGCCTGACGCCCAGCCTTTTCCCACCTCCAGGCTCCTTGAAGGAGGAGAGCACCCTGCAGGAGCTGCTGCTGTCCCCTTACCTGTGGGTGCTCTCCACTGGTTACCTTGTGGTGTTTGGAGTAAAGACCTGCTGTACTGACTGGGGCCAGTTCTTCCTTATCCAGGAGAAAGGACAGTCAGCCCTTGTAGGTAAGATGAGCATGGGGACAAGGGTGGGCATAAGGAGCAGGAACCAATGCAGGGGATGCAAATTCAGGCCTTGCTTCCATTTATCCTCTTTATTCGTTCCTTGAGGCCGGGCGCTACTCAGGCAGCTATGGCCAGTCACCTATGGGAACCCTGTACCTCTCCAGGTTTAAGCCATTGTGGGACAACCCCAATGTGTAACACCCTCCCACCCTTCCCTTCCCTCTTCCCACCACAACTCCCTACTGCAGGTAGCTCCTACATGAGTGCCCTGGAAGTTGGGGGCCTTGTAGGCAGCATCGCAGCTGGCTACCTGTCAGACCGGGCCATGGCAAAGGTGAGCGGGCAGAAGGGACAGGAAGGAGAAGGGTCCCTTTCAGTCTTCACGGCGTGGCTGGGACAGGCACTGGAGAGATGGGAGTCCCAGGGCACAGGCAGGTTGGCATCTGCTGGTTTAGACCGGGTGAAGAGGGAATGATTCCAGGCTGGTCTTAGCTTTCCTACGGTTGTGGAAGTAAGGCTCTTGGGTAGAGTTTTAACTGATGTGAAGGACAGCCAGAATATTTCTTAGCTTAGCTGTAGGTTGCTCCACAGCCCCAGGAAAATGGGCTGGGAACAGACTAGGTGCCCTCCCCAGCACGTGTCCTAGTCCTGCCTGACGGGGGAGGAGGGGATGTTGTAGAGTTTGGCCTCAGAATGTAATGAGCAGGTCCCAGGGCCTCCCAGAGCTGCCCAGGGCCAAGAACTGTGGTGGGATTGCCAAAGACCCGTCAGCAGAGGCCCTGCTGTGTCAGAGTCCAGGGGTGGGTGTTCTCTGCCCTGTTCTGAGGACGTGACATTGCCGGGACTGTATCCATAGGCGGGACTGTCCAACTACGGGAACCCTCGCCATGGCCTGTTGCTGTTCATGATGGCTGGCATGACAGTGTCCATGTACCTCTTCCGGGTAACAGTGACCAGTGACTCCCCCAAGGTAATTAAGAAAGGCCTGGCTCACGGCAGGGCACAAGGAGAGAACGCAAGGGCCACTGACTCTGTCTCCCTCTCCTGGCTTCAGCCTGGGCCAATCTTTTCTTCGCCTCTCAGATACCCTTTTCAGTTCTGATTGGACCGTTCCTCTGTGTCTGGGTTCTCCTCCTCCACTCTGGGCCTGGTTTTCTTTTCTTCCCTGTGCTCCTCTAGGATGTTGCTTTCTGGACTCTGGCTCTTCACCCTCTCGCGGAGCTCACAGGCTTTACAGAGCATGAGGTGCCTTAAAGATATCTCTGGTTTTTCTCCTGGTCTGTCTCACCTTTGTCCTACCCTTCTGCCTTACCCCTAGCCAATCCAGTTTGTGTAAATCCTGAGGACAGCCTCTAGCTCAGAGGGATGACTTCTGTACCTCCTTTCCTTGCCCACCTAGGTCCCTGGGTTTGCTCAATGTGGCATCTCCTACTCTAGCTCTGTATTGTCAGTTGTGTTGGGGAGTGGAAGGAAAAGAATCACTTACTTACTGTCCTTTTATGACTACTGTTTGTTTCTGGGGACCAAGCCTTCTTCTTGCTTTGGCAGGGGTGGGTAGGCAGGTCGGCTTTCCGACTCTGAATGCCACTCCACTCTGCCCTTGGCAGCTCTGGATCCTGGTATTGGGAGCTGTATTTGGTTTCTCCTCGTATGGCCCCATTGCCCTGTTTGGAGTCATAGCCAACGAGAGTGCCCCTCCCAACTTGTGTGGCACCTCCCACGCCATTGTGGGACTCATGGCCAATGGTAAGTGTTAACTTCTAGAGTCTCTCCCTCACCCCCACCTGTGCTTTGCATATAGACCAGTGAGAAGCTGGAGCTAGCACCACTGGCTTAGGTTCTTCCCTTTCCCCCTGACAGTGGGCGGCTTTCTGGCTGGGCTGCCCTTCAGCACCATTGCCAAGCACTACAGTTGGAGCACAGCCTTCTGGGTGGCTGAAGTGATTTGTGCGGCCAGCACGGCTGCCTTCTTCCTCCTACGAAACATCCGCACCAAGATGGGCCGAGTGTCCAAGAAGGCTGAGTGAAGAGAGTCCAGGTTCCGGAGCACCATCCCACGGTGGCCTTCCCCCTGCACGCTCTGCGGGGAGAAAAGGAGGGGCCTGCCTGGCTAGCCCTGAACCTTTCACTTTCCATTTCTGCGCCTTTTCTGTCACCCGGGTGGCGCTGGAAGTTATCAGTGGCTAGTGAGGTCCCAGCTCCCTGATCCTATGCTCTATTTAAAAGATAACCTTTGGCCTTAGACTCCGTTAGCTCCTATTTCCTGCCTTCAGACAAACAGGAAACTTCTGCAGTCAGGAAGGCTCCTGTACCCTTCTTCTTTTCCTAGGCCCTGTCCTGCCCGCATCCTACCCCATCCCCACCTGAAGTGAGGCTATCCCTGCAGCTGCAGGGCACTAATGACCCTTGACTTCTGCTGGGTCCTAAGTCCTCTCAGCAGTGGGTGACTGCTGTTGCCAATACCTCAGACTCCAGGGAAAGAGAGGAGGCCATCATTCTCACTGTACCACTAGGCGCAGTTGGATATAGGTGGGAAGAAAAGGTGACTTGTTATAGAAGATTAAAACTAGATTTGATACTGAACACTGTCAGTGATTCATTTTTTCAAAGTGAGACAGCTTCCTTGGGAAATATTGTCAATACCTGCTCTTTCCACCCCAAAATGGAAAGACTTCATTTCCCTGGAATGGGGAAGCTGAAGTGTAGATGGACTCCTTTAAAACTCATGCCTCCTCTGCCTTCACCTGAACATTGAATAGTTCAATGATTATTTTAGAGATAAAGCTATTGGGTTGTGGACAGATTAAATAACTTGATGGAGGGAAGAAGTGTAACAGTGGTTTACTGAGTGTGTAGCCAGAAAGCCTGGTTCAAACCCAGACTGTCAGTAACTAGCTTGGAAACTTTGAGGCAGAAAGTCTGCTAAATCTCTTATCTGTAACAGAATGTACCCCCTGGAGTTAGGGTGAAGATCAAGTGAGATAAAGCAGGAATGCCTGGCTGTAAGTGCTTGAAATATGTTCCATCATCATCATCATCATAACAGCCACCACCACTGCTGCCACCACCCCAGGACCCCAGGAAATCAGCAGCAATTCTGGGACTAGATCCAATGCTCATGCTTCAAAATCTTATGTTCATTTATTTAATGAACACATATTTGTTATGTTTTTTACTAGCACATAATCATCTTCCCAGAATTCCCTAACCATTTTTGACTCACTTCCTGTATCTTTCCCCCAAAACCATCGATTAAGACAGATTGCAAACACCAAGATCAAAGGAATATTTATTACAACATTTATGGACCTAGCTCCTCCATAAATAAATCTGTACAGAGTTGGAAAGTAAGACCATGGTATATACAGAAGGAAAGAGCACAGTGTTAAGGCTCAGGAATCAGTACAAGTCATCAGGGTCAGCATTCTCCCACTTTCAAGTGCACTAACAAGGCTGCTGGGATTTCCACTGGAGTGTCAACAGCAGTATTCTTGTTGCAGGAACTCTCAGAATTTGGGGGTCCATAACAGGTTCAGCCTATGACCCAGGTCCAAAAGTTCCAGCCTTCTCTGCCACCTCCAGAGCTAGCTTCAGGTTCTGGTCAAAGAGCTCACACCTAAGCCGGGCCCAGGGTGAGGAAAAAAAGTGTGAGGCCTGAGGCTTTCTCCCCACTTAAGCCAGGGGAAACTGCTTGAAGAACAACATATATCATGGAAGGCTGAGGTGGGCGGATCAGCTGAGGTCAGGACTTTGAGACTAGCCTGGCCAATATGGTGAAACCCTGTCTCTACTAAAAATACAAAAATTAGCCAGGCATGGTGGCAGGTGCCTGTAATCCCAGCTACTCCGGAGGCTGAGACAAAAGAATCGCCTGAACCCGGAAGGCAGAGGTTGTGGTGAGCCGTGATGGCACCATTGCATTCCAGCCTGGGTGGTTAAGAGTGAAGCTCAGTCTCAAAAAAAAAAAAAAAAAAAAAAACATCAACAAAAAAAACCCCACAAACAAACAAACAAAAATGACATAAACACCAAGGAAAGTCTGTTTTCTCTAAATAGTCACCCAGGCTGGAATCAGTGGCACGATCTCAGCTCACTGCAACCTTTTCCTCCCAGATTGAAGCGATTCTGCTTGCCTCAGCCTACTTGAGTAGCTGGGATTGCAGGTGCACACGACCACACCTGGCTAATTTTTGTATTTTCAGTATTTTTAGCAGAGATGGGGTTTCACCATGTTGACCAGGCTGGTCTTAAACTCCTGACCTCAAGTGATCCGCCCGCCTCAGCCTCCCAAAGTGCTGGGATTACAGGCGTGAGCCACTGCACCCAGCTACTGTTGTCTTATTTATTTAGAGACACGGTCTTGTTCTGTTGCCCAGGCTGGAATGCAGTGGCACGAGCATGGTTCACTGCTGCCTTGACCTTCCAGGTTTAAGCAATCCTCCCGCCTCAGCTTCCTTAATAGCTGGCACTACAGGTGTCCGCCACCACACCAGGCTAATTTTTTTTTTTTTTGTAAAGATGGGGTTCTATGTTGTCCAGGCTGATCTCAAACTCCTGGGCTGAAGTGATCCTACCCTCTCCGTCTTCCAAAGTGCTGAGATTACACACGTGAGCCACCGGCCTTTCCTTGTGTCTTACTTAAAAGTAATACTCGGCCGGGCGCAGTGGCTCACGCCTGTAATCCCAGCACTGTGGGAGGCCAAGGCAGGTGGATCACCTGAGGCCGGGAGTTTGAGACCAGCCTGACCAACATGGTGAAACCTTGTCTTTACTAGAAACATGAAATTAGCCAGGCGTGGTGGCACATGCATCCAATCCCAGCTACTCAGGAGGCTGAGCCAGGAGAATCGCTTGAACCCGGGAGGCAGAGGTTACAGCGAGCCAAGATCGCATCATTGCACTCCAGCCTGGGCAACAAGAGCGAAACTCCGTCTCAAAAACAAACAAACAAAAAAAGTAATACTCTACTATGCTTCAGCTAACTTTGGACAGAGCACACAGGGAGGGGCAAGGACGCTTTAAACAGTATCTGGGAAGTGGGGCCACTTACCTGATAGGCATTTCTAAGGAATAGAATGGATTCTTGAGGGCAAAGTCTGAGTAAATCTCATAAATCTTTCGGAGAAGAGAATCTATTCCAGCTTGCCTAGGATCTGCTAGAACCACAAACTTGATCCCTGGAGAGAGACCAAGAATGGTTACCAAAGCGTAGACACTGGAGCAAATAGTGTCATCCTGTATTTGTACAGCACTTTCAATTTTGCAAAACACTTTCATAAGCCTATTTTAATTTTATTCTTTTTACCACATAATGCAGGAAAGGCAAGACTTTGAATCTACCGATGAGACCAGAGAAGTGAAGTAACTTTGTTATGTCACCCACCTGATTAAGACCAGGCTTTGAGTTCTAGCTCTGCCACTTACTAACAGTTTTGGAGTCCCTCAGCAGAAACATTGCCAGGCAGGGGACAAAGTCAGGCAGTTTTCAATAAATGAAGAGGGTGAAGCAATGACACTGGCAATCCAAAGGTCATATCCATTTTGCTTTCAAATTTCATTTTGGAAAAACACTTAACACCTTCCAAAGTACACGCAACAGGAAATAGCATTAAGGTGAGTTTTATCTGAACACAAGATAACCTCTGCTGAACATGCTGGGTGGCATGGACAAAATCAGTTTCAGATTAAATATTGGTTTTGTATTCACAAAACAAACAAACAGATGTGTCTATAAAATTGTGCCAGGAAGGCCGGGCGCGGTGGCTCATGCCTGTAATCCCAGCACTGTGGGAGGCAGAGGCAGGTGGATCACCTGAGGTCAGGAGTTCGAGACCAGCCTGGCCAACATGGTGAAACCCCATCTCTCCTAAAAAATACAAAAATTAGCTGGGCGTGTGGCGGATGCCTGTAATCCCAGCTACTCAGGAGGCTGAGGCAGGAGAATTGCTTGAACCCGGGTAGTGGTGGCTGCAGTGAGCCAACATCGCGCCACTGCACTCTAGCCTGGGTGACAGAGCAAGACTCCATCTCAAAACAAGACAAAACAAAAAAACCCCACAAAAAATTAGCTGGGTGTGGTGGCGGGCATCTGTAGTCTCAGCTACTTGGGAGGCTGAGGCAGGAGAATTGCTTGAACCCAGGAGGTGGTGGCTGCAGTGAGCCAAGATCATGCCACTACACTCCAGCCTGAGTGGCAGAGTGAAACTGCATCTCAAAAAAAAAAAAAAAAAAAAGAACTGTGGGTCGGGTGTGGTGGCTCACGCCTGTAATCCCAACACTTTGGGAGGCGGGCAATCACCTGAGGTCGGGAGTTTGAGACCACCATGACCAATATGGAGAAACACCATCTCTAATAAAAACAGAAAAATTAGCCGGGTGTGGTGACACATGCCTGTAATCCCAGCTATTTGGGAGCCTGAGGCAGGAGAATCGCTTGAACCCAGGGGGCGGATCATGCCCCTGCATTCCAGCCTGGGCAACAAGAGTGAAACATTTCAAAAAAAAAAAGAATTGTGCCAGGAAAAGCACACCCCCTCTTCTTGCTTACCAAAGGTGTCTTTGGTCAACCCCCTCCTCCCACCTTCTCCACCACACTCCTCTGGCCCACCTGGAGATGCAAACTTATCAGTATCTCTTCCCCACCTTCTCCATCACACTCCTCTGGCCTCCGTGGAGATGCATACCTGTCAGTGTCTGGTAGCAGTGCAATTTGAATGTGTCTGTCTCCAGCATCTCAATGCCTGAGCTTCCCTGTTCAGGAGACAGCTGGGAGCCGATGGCAAAGAGCCTATATGCAAAGGAGGCAAAGTTGCTCTAAGGAAGGAGTGCTTCTCAAACTTCCACTGAAGTGTCCCTATTTGCTGAGGAGTTCACATTACAGCCTGGGACAGTCAGGAGAAGTAGTGTGAACTGACTGGCAGTAGTGTCAAAATTTCTAAGTTCATTTGAATTCTGTGAATATTTTACATTCATACTTTGTTACAAGACATTTTACATCTAAAACTTTGGGTAAAATGAATACTCTAGGAATATGTGCCACGCTTACTAAGCTTGTGTTTAAGCAAAGGCCGGCACATCTGATATCACAATTGAGAGCAGAAAAAGTTTAAAGGTCATTTAGTTAAACTGGCTTTCTTTAAATATGAAGAAACTAAGGCTCAGAGAAGAGAAGTTGACTTTAAGTAAGATGACACCTCGGCCGGGCGCGGTGGCTCACTCCTGTAATCCCAGCACTTTGGGAAGCCGAGGCAGGTGGATCACCTGAGGTCAGGAGTTTGAGACCAGCCTGGCCAACATGGCAAAACCCCTCTCTACTAAAAATACAAAAATTAGCTGGTCGTGGTGGCACGCGCCTGTAATCCCAGCTACTCGGGAGGCTGAGGCAGGAGAATCGCTTGAACCTGGGAGGCAGAGGCTGCAGTGAGCCGAGATCCCGCCACTGCGCTCCAGCCTGGGTAACTCCGCGGCCCCTCCCCACCCAGCAAAAAAAGATGACACCACTGCCGTTATTACCTAAAATCTAGATCTGGATCGGTTGCGTTTTTCATAACACCAGAACGACGATTTAAGAAAAGGTAGACAAATTACAAGCGCTGCCGTTCAGGAGACGGGGGACTTACGAGTGGAACATGGAGGCCAGCATAAGCTTCTCATTAGAAGTGAGGCGGGGCCGGCCAAATCGAATGGACACCGGGTAATTAGCAGGGTTACCCAGATACTCCAGCACCTCTTTCCCGTCGGCCGTGTACCTGCCATTCACGTCCATGCCATTGATGGCCAGCACTGCATGACCCACTGCAGAGGTGAAGCTAACGGTCAGCGAAGGTGCAGCCCGGGGATTCCGCCGAGGGGACAAGGGACCCGACACAACCCCTTTTCCCCCAACCCCGCACCTACAACCAGCCCACTTCTACAGCACTGGGGCCCTCCCACCCCCGCACCCGCCACGGGCCCGAGCCTAGCCCACCTCGGATGCCGTCCCGCTGGCCGAAAGCAACCAACACACGCTCATCGTGTAGCTTGAGCAGCAGATCCAGCGGATAACTGAAAGTTTTCTCAGCCTCAGCCCGTGGCGCGTAGCTGTCCAACTGGTAAATCAAGCCGCCAGCTTTGTTCACCACATACACACTAAAAATCGCCATCGCTGCCTTGCCGCTCGGAAACTGGTATTCAGCCTCTACCCGACGGCCCCTCCCCGGAACCGCATCACAGCACTTGCCGCCGGCCCCACCCCAGCCTCCTCCTCCTCCTCCTCCTCCTCCCGCGCCCCCCGTGCAGCCACCTGCTGCACTTGCGCACTGGGAGCGACACGCTCGGGCATAAGTAGTGCCGGAAAGTTAGCTGCCGAGACCTGGTGGATTGCTTTTCGTTTATCAGTGCAGGAAAACAGCGCTATAGTATGCGTCACAACTAGCGCAGACTCCGGCAGTATTTAGGCGGTGCGGCTTGGGAACTAGAATCCACTTCCTGTCTTCCGCCTCAGGCTAGAGGGCGAGCGCTTCGCCGTGGGACTTCTTCTGCCTGGCTCCGCCTTTTGCCCCGGAAGTACTCACAGCGGACGGTGGTTTTTGGGCCCGTTTCTGAGCAGCGCTTCCTTTTTGTCCGACATCTTGACGAGGCTGCGGTGTCTGCTGCTATTCTCCGAGCTTCGCAATGGTAAGCTTCAGGGGTGTGAAGTCGCCGGCGTTCTTGGGTTTGAGGACTCAGTGGGGAGAGCCTTCGGCGGGAGCGCTCCTTGGCCTGCCGGCCTCGGTTGCAGGGCGGGCGCGGTTATTGCTTGGCCCATGTGCTCTGGTGGTGGAGTTTGCGGGGGCTGAGGGCGCAGTATTAGGGGACTTTGGCGCTATTTGAGGACCTGGTTGCATTCCCGCTGCCCTCCTACAGCCGCCTAAGGACGACAAGAAGAAGAAGGACGCTGGAAAGTCGGCCAAGAAAGACAAAGACCCAGTGAACAAATCCGGGGGCAAGGCCAAAAAGAAGGTAGAAATAAGACCTCTCTGAAAGAGACTAGGGGTAACTCTCTCGTAATCCTCTAGTAATAGGTAACTTGTATAGTAAGTGGTTTTTCAGGTGTAGATTTCTAGAGTCAAAATGTGAGAGTTTATCTTCCCGTCACCACTCGTTCTTTTTCCCATTAGGATCATGAAAATGGGTCTGTTGTGCGAAGTGTCTGCCGCTGTGCCTGCTGTGTTATTTTTAACTGATCTAGTGGGGCTCGGCCCCTGTTTGAAGGCCAAAAACGTGTCGGTGTTTTTTTTTTGTTTTTGTTTTAGTAATGTGTAATTTATCCTTGATAACGGTGGAACAGATTTCTCTGACGCAGATTACTCGAGAGGGAAAGGGTGCTTCTGCCAGAAATACTAACTTGTTTCTGTTTTGTTTTGGTGAGCAGAAGTGGTCCAAAGGCAAAGTTCGGGACAAGCTCAATAACTTAGTCTTGTTTGACAAAGCTACCTATGATAAACTCTGTAAGGAAGTTCCCAACTATAAACTTATAACCCCAGCTGTGGTCTCTGAGAGACTGAAGATTCGAGGCTCCCTGGCCAGGGCAGCCCTTCAGGAGCTCCTTAGTAAAGGTGAGGGGTGTATCCTACATGTGTGTTTTTGTAGGTTAAATTGTCTTGACCATGTTAAGCATCTTCAGTGGTTTTGCTGGAAAAGCAGAATTAAAAAAAAAAAGCGTGGCTTGACCATTGGCTGTTAGTAATGTAATTCTGACGTCTTACTCCTGATCCTGAGATGAATTCTCAGGGTTCTTAGCCACTTTTGTGCCGTGGACCCTGTGGCAGTTTAGTGAAGCCCAAGGATCTTTTATGTTTCGAGTAAATGGATGCATAGAATTACAGGGACAACCGTTTTTGAAATAATTAGATTACTATTTTGAAACAACTTTGAAAATGTTTAAAACCTTTATGGTAAATATTTTGTTGATGTATTAAATTTTAAAACCAGAAATTTAGTACGGTCTACTCAGTAGTATGGTCTGATTACCATAATTCCACAATAATAAGGCTCAGCTAACTATAGTGACTGAACGTCTATAATTCTAGCACTTTGGGAGGCCAAGGCGGGTGAATCAACGGAGGTCAGGAGTTAAAGACCAGCCTGGCCAATATGGTGAAAACCTGCTCTACTGAAAGTTAGCTGGACGTGGGGGCACACGTCTGTAATCCCAGCTACTCAGGATGCTGAGGCATGAGGATCCCTTGAACCCAGGAGATGGAGGTGGCAGTGAGCCGAGATGACACCACTGCACTCCAGCCTTAGTGACAGCAAAAGACTGTCTCAGAAAGGGGGGGGGGGTGGAAGATAATGGAGCCCTAATTTAAAGGAAAAGTAAGGATAGATGATCGTTAAAAACTAGGATTCTCGGTTACCGAACGTCAGATTAAGCAATTCTGGAGCCAGGTGCAGTGGTACCCTTGTATTTCTAGCTACTTGGGAGGCCAAAGCAGGAGGATCATTTGAGCCAAGGAGTTTTAAGACCATTCTGGGCACCTCTGAGAGAACTCTGTCTTTTTGTTTTCCTTTTCTTTAAATAGAGATGCGGTTTTGCCATGTTGCCCAGGCTGGTCTCCTGGGCTCAAGAGATCCACCTGTCCAAAGTGCTGGGATTACAGGCATGAGCCTCTGCACCCGGCCAAAACAAACCTTACTAGAGTCTCATTCTGTTGCCCAGGTTGGAGTGCGGAGGGGCAGTCTTGGCTCAATGCAACCACCAATTCCTGGGTTCAGGTGGTCCTCACCTCAGCTTCCCAAGTAGCTGGAATTACAAGCATGTGCCACCATGCCCAGCTAATTTTTGTATTTTTGGTAGAGATGGGGTTTCACCTTGTTGGCCAGGCTGGTGTGCAACTCCTTACCTCAAGCTATCTGCCCGTCTCCACCTCCCAAAGCAGTGGGATTATAAGCATGAGCCACCGCGCCCAGCCAAAAACCTTACTAGTTTCTATTGTAGCATCTGTTAAGCATCTCATCGTGCTATTCTCTCCCCCTAGGACTTATCAAACTGGTTTCAAAGCACAGAGCTCAAGTAATTTACACCAGAAATACCAAGGGTGGAGATGCTCCAGCTGCTGGTGAAGATGCATGAATAGGTGAGTAGGAATGTGTGGGCTCATGGTGTAGGAGGTAGATACAAAGCTTTATGGTTCTGATTCTTTTAATTTTTTTTTACAGGTCCAACCAGCTGTACATTTGGAAAAATAAAACTTTATTAAATCAAATGAATGAGTATGTCTGTTTCCTAAGAAAGACAATGATAAAGAATTTGGTGGAAGGTATAATAGGGGTTTGTTGACTTTGCTTTTAGCCTCATGGTAGTTGGTAGAGAGCATGATTAGCTTTTTTCTGTATGTGACTGCTTCTTCATTGCTGCAGCTTCAGTTTTGAATTGATGTCTGAAAGGAAATAAAGGGTTAACACGATGATGAAGGGTGACATCTCCAAAAAGGAGGTTGGATGGGTAGGTTGGAGACCCGGCACTGAACACACATACCTGGACTGCCAGCGGCGTCCATTATTCCAGACGCGGCCAAAAGAGGGCAGCCAGCCTGCACTGGTCCTGGAGCTGTGATCAAAGTTGGCCCCAACTCGGTCTGGGGGGAGTTTTTTCAACTTCTGTTTTTCCTCTGTACAATGATAGGGAAACTTTTATTTTTCTTTATTGAAGAATATAGAGATGGGGTCTCACTATGTTGTCCAGGCTGTTTTCAAACTTCTGGGCTCAAGTGACCCTCCCACCTCAGCCTCCCAAAATGCTAGGATTATAGCCATGAGCCACCACACACAGGCAAGGAAACCATTTTTGAGTGTGAAGATTTAGACGATCCTCTCTTGAATTAGTTTACTTACTTTCTTTAAGAAATTCTTCATAGGATGGTCCTATTTCTTGGTTCCCAGCAATGTATTCTTCATCTTGGATCATCCAGGGAGGTGTGGCACCTGAAAAAAAAATTAAGGCTTTTTTTTTTTTTTTTAAGTCTTCAGGCTATTGTGAAACATGTCCTAGCTGTTAGCTTACCTCTCCTCATTAAGAGCTAGAAATGTCTAAAAGCAAAGCCCAGGAATTCTGGAGCTTTAGAAGGCCCTAGGCTAATTTAAAGCGACATACCCCATATGTGACAGTCATTTTAAAATGGCTTTGAGGCACAACTGACATAAACGATACACACTTAAATTTGGTGACTTTTGAGCGAAGCCATTACAATCTAGACCCCAAACATCCCCCTGTAAGTATCACTGCCCCCATTAAAATATTTTCATGTCCAGGCAATCGGTGATCTTTCAGTTGCTTTATTGGTTTGTATTTTTTAGGATTTTCTGTGTGTGGACATTGAGGTGGGGTCTGGCCTTTTGTTTTTTTGAGAGGAGTCTCGCTCTAGCCCAGGCTGGACACAATCTCAGCTCACTGCAACCTCCGCCTCCCAGGTCTCGGTTCAAACAATTCTGCCTCAGCCTCCCAAGTAGCTGGGATTACAGGCGTGCGCTGCGATGCCCAGCTAATTTTTGAATTTTTAGTAGAGATGGGGTTTCACCATGTTGGCCAAACTGGTCTTGAACTCCTGACCTCGTGATCCGCCTGCCTTGGCCTCCCAAAGTGTCGGGATTACAGGCATGAGCCACCACGCCGGCCAGGTCTGGACTTCTGAGATTCATCTGTGTCGTACGTATCAATAATTCTGTCTTCATCCTGGAATACTATTCCATTGTTAATCCATTTGCCTGTTGATAGACATCTGAATTGTTTCCAATTTGGAGCTGCTACAAGTGAAGCTGTTCTGAAGATTTGTGTACAAGTCTATGTAGACAGGCTTTCTTTTCTCTAGTTAGGGGTGGAACGGTTGGATAATGTGGTAGGTGTATCCCAAACTGTTTTCCAAAGTGACTGTACCAGTTTACATTCTAAGAGCAGTGTATGAAGGTTTGGTTTTTCTACACTGCCAAACACTTGGCATGATCAGTCTTTAATTTCTGCCATTCCAATACATATGTAGTGGTATTTCACTGTGGTTTTAATTTGCATTTCTCTAATGACTAATGTTGAACATTATTCATATGCTTTTATTGGGTTGTTTCCTTATCAAGTTGACAGTTCTTCATATATTCTGGATATAAGGCTTTTACCGATACATACGCTTTATCTTGGCCAACTTTATTTAAAAAAAAAAAAAAAGTCCGGGCACGGTGGCTCATGCCTGTAATCCCAGCACTTTGGGAGGCCGAGGCGGGTGGATCACGAGGTCAGGAGATCGAGACCATCCCGGCTAAAACGGTGAAACCCCGTCTCTACTGAAAATACAAAAAATTAGCTGGGCGTAGTGGCGGGCGCCTGTAGTCCCAGCTACTTGGGAGGCTGAGGCAGGAGAATGGCGTGAACCCGGGAGGCGGAGCTTGCAGTGAGCCGAGATCCCGCCACTGCACTCCAGCCTGGGCGACAGAGCGAGACTCCGTCTCAAAAAAAAAAAAAAAAAAATTAGCTGGGTGTGGTGGTGCACACCTGTAACCCCAGCTACTTGGGAGGCTGAGGCAGAAGAATCACTTGAACCTGAGAGGCAGAGGTTGCAGCGAGCTGAGATTGCGCCACTGCACTCCAGCCTGGCGACAGAACAAGACTCCATCTCAAAAAAAAAAAAAAATCTCCCAGGGTTTTAAAAACACTGCCCTGGACCTTACCTGAGTGGATGTTACCAACTCCTGGTATATCCTGTAGTTGGAAATGGGAAAAAAAGTGCTAGTTAAAGTCTAGGCATGATTAAAAAAAAAAATCCTAGAAACGATAGACAAAGCACACTTTAAAAGAGGTGGGTGTGACTGCTGCCACAATGCTAATTCTGCACCCCAGCTGATGTTAAACTTTGAAAGCACAGTAAGTCACTCTAAGACAACCCTGTCCTCAGGAAGCTCACAGTCATAACAGTGGAGATGTCTGTAAGTAGAGTGGCTATTACATGCCAGGGGAGCAAAACCTTGCCCTCACAGCATACATATAATTGGGGAAGAGCATTAAGCACAAGTTACGTAAATTACATTTGCAACTTTACATGGTGCTACATCCACTTGAAATAGAGATAACCTGTTCAGATAAGCCTTTTATGAAAAAGTGACATTTGAGCTAACAGTTGAAGGTAAACTAGGTGATGAGGGAAGGAAAGCAGGTTTTAGACAATGGCAACTGCAAAAGCCCGAAGCAACACAATACAGCTGAAGTGTAGAGTAAAATCATAAGTGGTACAATGATTTTCTGTTTGTGAGGCAGGATTGAAGGGGGAGTAGAAATTGCCCAAAGGCTGAATGGAGGCAGACAGGTTAAAATTGACCGCTTGTTGACAGGATATGGGAGATGGAAAAGGAAAGGATCTGCATCTAGTGATTGGAAATATAGGAGTGGTGGGGGTTAGTTTCAGATGCCTGTGGGATATTTAATGTCCTGTGTTGAGTTGGAACTATGAGTTCTACAGAGGGCAAGATTTAGGAGTTGGCACTCCTAAGTGTCAATACATGTGAATAGGATCGCTTTGGAGGGTGAGAAGAGGTCTGAGAACACTACTAGGGAACAGTGAAGGAAGAAGGAAAAGCCTGCAGTGGAGGCAGCAGTGGCTTGAATAGGTAGAAAATCAGGAGAAAGGGGTCCTGAGACCTGAGGGACCATTGGCCCTCTTCTGGCTTGCTTATCCTTTGTACCTGATGGCCAATGAATGTCAGAGATGGTCCTGTCTCCATCCAGTCAAGCTCTGGAGCTGGTGGCAGGTCCAAATTTGAGGGCTGCTGTAAGCTGGAAGCTACTTGGCTGAAAAACATGAGCCAGGCTGCCAGATGAGGTCCTTGAGCCATGAGGGTGGTAAAGATTAGATCTGTTTCCATTTCCCAGGCAAAAGGTTGCAGAATGTTCTAAGATGTCAAATTCCCAACAAGAGATTCCCTAATAGTCTTACCTGTTCATCCCTTTCCAGCTTCTAGGTGCTGAAGAGCCCTCTTCTGGGTCTGGCACTGCCTGAGGCTGAGTTTGATTCAGGAAAAATAAATGTGTCTGGGATGCTTAAGAGCCTGCCTAGGCCATGCCTCCACCCTCCAGACCCCAGTATCACAGGAAGGAAACAAATTAGCATATGGAAGGTACTGCCCATCTTTTACAGACTCTTCCCTCCCTCCCTCCCAGTCCTGTCCACATATTCACTGACTAGGCCTGCCCCCTGGCACACAGGTAAGGGAATTCAAGCCAAGCAGATGAGAATGCAGTCAGAGTTCTCTTAGAAGCACTGGTTCATGGCCGGGCACAGTGGCTCATGCTTGTAATTCCAGCAGGCTGAGGCGGGTGGATCACCTGAGGTCAGGAGTTCAAGACCAGCCTGGCCAACATGGTGAAACACCACCTCTATTAAAAATATAAAAATTAGCCAGGCGTGGTGGCGGCACCTGTAATCCCAGCTACTCGGGAGCCTGAGGCAGGAGAATCGCTTGAACCTGAACCTGGGAGGTGGAGGTTGCAGTGAGCCGAGATCGTGCCACTGCACTCCAGCCTGGGTGACACAGCGAAACTCTGTCTCCAAAAAAAAAAGAAGAAGAAGAAGCACTAGTCCATGAAATGCTGGACCTGGGAATGCCAGGGATCAGTGGATTTGGATACTGGTCTGGATCCTCCGAGGGAAACCAACCTCTAAGACAGACCGAACCACCTCCTGTCGGCTCTGCTCCACCTCACGGATCTGAGCTGCCATCTGTGGGAGAGAGGCTGCTTAGACAGGTACAGGATCATGGGGGCCAGTTTCTTCAGAGGCCTTTCCTTTAACTTGGGCCCTCCACCCCCAGGCGTGGACCAGTACTGGTCTGTGGCCTGTCAGGAAGCAGGCTGCAACAGCACTGCCGCCTGAGCTCCTGTCAGATCAGTGGTGGTGTTACATTCTCATAGGAGCACAAACACTATTGTGAACTGGGCATGCAAGGTATCTAGGTTGCGTGCTCCTTATGAGAATCTAGTGCCTGATGATCTGAGGTGGAGCAGTCTCATTCTGAAACCATCCCCTGCCTGGGTCCATCTGTGGAAAAACCGTCTTCCACGAAACCAGCCCCTGGTGCAAAAAGGGTGAGGGACTGCTACTTTAACTTACCTCCTTGATCACTTTATCCTCCTTTTCTTCATAGGAATCCAAACCTTTCACCATGGATTTCTTGAATCTAAAAAGAAAAGGGGCAAAACCACCCAGAACCCATTCCCCACCAGTTAAAACGAAAAGCTCCTCAGTAGATATTTTTTTAATTTTGAGAAATTCCAAATTCAGAAACAAAACAGTATAGTAAGCACCTATGTACCTCTCACCCAGAGTCCTTGTAAACATTTTGCCATACTGGCTCCACTTCTTTTGTACAGACACACGTCCTTTTTGCCAAAACAAAATAGGTTTAGACGTCAAACCCTATTTTCAACACACATCTCCCAAGAGGAGGAACATTCTATACAACCATGATACCATTACCACATTAAGAAAATTCTTCCTTTTAGTGTTCAAATATTTGGCTGGTTAGTATAGACATGGTTTACATGTCTTCAGACTTGAGTGTAGGCATACAGGCTATATTCACATTTCCCTCGTCTCAAAAACGTGCATTATGCCTTCTCTACTCTCACCTCCAATCCCAAAGTCCAACAAAAGATCACATGGAATCCAGCTATTAGGTCTCTAGTCTTCCCCTAGTCTGGAACAGTCTTACTGTTTCCATTACTTCACATCCTCAGAAGAATCCAGGCCAAATCTTGCATACTGTCCTAAATTTCTTTGTCTTTTTTTTGAGACGGGCTCGCTCTGTTGCCTAGGCTGGAGTGCAGTGGCACAACCTCAGCTCGCTGCAACCTCTGCTCAAGAGGCTCCCAGGCTCAAGAGATCCTCCTGCCTTAGCTTCCTGAGTAGGTAGGACTACAGGACAGCACCACTATGCCTGGCTAATTTTTGTGTTTTTTGTAGAAACAGGGTTTTGCCATGTCACCCATGCTGGTCTCGAACTCCTGGGCTCAAGCAATTCTCCTGCCTTGGCCTCCCAAAGAACTGGGATTACAGGCATCAGCCACTATGCCTGGCCTTAAATCAGTAATTTGTACTGTCACCTCCCTATTCAAATGCCTCCATTCCTTACTTGTATCTTCCTTTTGCCATAGTGAAAACCCTGGTTCTCAAAACCCTGGTTCTCAACACAAAGTTTCAGTATAATACCAATACCACTATCAACAGTGTTCCCTGAGAGCCTTGAATATATCCAAGGAGACAATGGCTTGAGCCACACCTTACCGAATTGTGGCTGAAAGGCTTGTTTAATCCTCCTGGAACACGAGGGTGGAAGGTCTGCCAGAAGCTGCTATGAGGCCATCTCCCACTTCCCTCCCCATCTCCCCTAGGAGGTTGTCATCAAATGGTTTCTCATCAACTCCCAGGTTCTGATGAGGTATGGGGCTTTCTGTTCCACCCCTCTCAGATTAAAATTGCAGAATATTAAGCCACTTAGTTTTAAAAAATCATTTAAGCCAGGCGCGGTGTGGCCCACGCCTGTAATCCCAGCACTTTGGGAGGCCGAGACGGGTGGATCAAGAGGCCAGGAGTTCAAGACCAGCCTGGCCAACATAGTGAAACCCTGTCTCTACAAAAACACAAAAAATTAGCCAGATGTGGTGGCAGGTGCCTGTAATCCCAGCTACTTGGGAGGCTGAGACGAGAATTGCTTGAACCTCGGAGGTGGAGGTTGCAGTGAGCCGAGATCGGGCCACTGCACTCCAGGCCAGTGACAGAGCAAGACTCTGTCTCAAAAATAATAATAAGTTGTAGGGAAAAGAAAGAAAGATCAGACTGTCACTGTGTCTATGTAGGAAGGAAAGACATAAGAGACTCCATTTTGAAAAAGACCTGTACTTTAAACAGTTGCTTTGCTGAGATGTTGTTGATTTGTAGCTTTGTCCCAGCCACTTTGACCCAGCCACTTTGACCCAACTTGGAGCTCACAAAAACATGTGTTGTATAAAATCAAGGTTTAAGGGACCTAGGGCTGTGTAGGACGTGCCTTGTTAACAAAATACTTACAAGCAGTACATCTGGTAAAGGTCATTGCCATTCTCTAGTCTCAATAAACCAGGGGCACAATGCACTGTGGAAAGCCGCAGGGACCTCTGCCCTTGAAAGCGGGGTATTGTCCAAGGTTTCTCTCCATGTGATAGTCTGAAATATGGCCTCGTGGGATGAGAAAGACCTGACTGTCTCCCAGCCCGACACCTGTAAAGGGTCTGTGCTGAGGTGGATTAGTAAAAGAGGAAAGCCTCTTGCAGGTGAGATGGAGGAAGGCCACTATCTCCTGCTTGCCCCTGGGAACTGAATGTCTCGGCTTAAAACCCGATTGTACATTTGTTCAACTCTGAGATGGGAGAAAAGCTGCCCTGTGGCGGGAGGCGAGACATGTTTACAGTGATACTGCCTTGTAGTCTTTACTCCACTGAGATGTTTGGGTGGAGAGAAACATAAGTCTGGCCTACGTGCACGTCCAGGCATAGTACTTTCCCTTGAACTTAATCGTGATATACATTCTTTTGCTCACATGTAATTTGTTGACCTTCTCCTTATTATCACCCTGCTGTCCTACTACATTCCTTTTTGCTGAAATAATGAAAAATAATAATCAATAAAAACTGAGGGAACTCAGAGGCCGGTGCCGGTGCAGGTCCTTGGTGTGCTGAGCACCAGTCCCCTGGACCCACCGTTGTTTCTTTATACTTTGTCTCTGTGTCTTATTTCTTTTCTCCGTCTCTCATCCCACCCGACTAGAAATACCCACAGGTGTGGAGGGGCAGGCCACCCCTTCAATAAGTAAAATTTAAAAACAACAAAAAAGCCACTTAGCTACTACAGTCTAGATTTGATTCCCCAGCAACAGAATATCCCACAACTCACACTGGGGTCATCCAGTCCTTTTTGTTTCAGTGTTGTCCTTTTTGGTGTATGAAACAAGGACCTGAGAAGCTGGCTCTTTGGTCTTCCTTTTCTTTTCACTGTCTATGTAAGAAACCATCTAAATCTAAAAGTGCCTCCTCCTATCTTTACCAGTCAAATCAACCAAACCTTGGAATTGCCTTGTGTGTGTATGTTTGACAATTTACAAGGTTCAAAAGTAAAAATTAGGCTGGGCACAGTGGCTCATGCCTGTAATCTCAACACTTTGGGATGCCAAAGTGGAAGGACTGCTTGAGCCCAGGAGTTTGAGACCAGCTCAGGCAACATAGTGACCCTGTCTCTACAAAAAATACAGAAATAGCCAGGTGTGATGGTGCACACTTATAGCCCTAGATACTTGGAAGGCTGGGGTGGGAGGATTGCTTGAGCCTGGGAGGTTGAGGCTGTAGTGAGCTGTCATTGTATCATGGCACTCCAGCTTGGACAACAGAGCAAGACTCCATCTCAAAATAAATAAATAAATAAATAAAAAGGCCAGATTAGGTGGTTCACATCTGTAATCCCAGCACTTTGGGAGGCCGAGGTGGGCGGATCATGAGGTCAGGAGTTTGAGACCAGCCTGACCAACATGCTGAAACCCCATCTCTATTGAAAGTACAAAAATGAGCCGGGCGTGGTGGCACGTGCCTGTAATCCCACCTACTTAGCAGGCTGAGGCAGGAGAATCACTTGAACCTGGGAGGCGGAGGTTGCAGTGAGCCAAGATCATGTCATTGCACTCCAGCCTGGGTGACAGAGCGAGACTCTCTCCAAAAAAAAGAAACGAAAAGAAAACTATATTTAGGTTGCCGGTATCTCCTGGCCACTGGCTGCCACTACAGTTCATTTATCTGGAACCTGGGCTCCTGAAGATGCAGCACTGGAGCAGAGAGATGATGTTGACAGGGTGTCTTAGTCCATTTTCACACTGTTGATAAAGACATACCCAAGACTGGGTAATTTACAAAGAAAAAGAGGTTTAATAGACTCACACAGTTCCATGTGGCCGGGGAGGCCTTATAATCACAGCAGAAGGTGAAAGGCATGTCTCATGGTGGCAGGCCAGAGAGAATGAAAACCAAGTGAAAGGGGAAACCCCTTATAAAATCATCAGATCATGTGAGACTTATTACCATGAGAACAGCATGGGGGAAAACGCCCCCATGATTCAGTTATCTCCCACTGGGTCCCTCCCACAACGTGGGAATTATGGGAGCTACAGTCAAAAAAATTTGGGTGGGGACACAGCTAAACCATATCACAGAGGTTGATGAATGACCCAGTCACATTAGAAATAGGTGGACTAAGCCAGGCGCAGTGGCTCACGCCTGTAATCCCAGTACTTTGGGAGGCCGAGGCGGGTGGATCACGAGGTCAAGAGATCGAGACCATCCTGGCCAACACGGTGAAACCCCATCTCTACTAAAAATACAAAAATTAGGCCGGGCATGGTGGCTTACGCCTGTAATCCCAGACTTTGGGAGGCCGAGGCAGGCGGATCACGAGGTCAGGAGATCAAGACCATCCTGGCTAACAAGGTGAAACCCCGTCTCTACTAAAAATACAAAAAATTAGCCAGGCATGGTGGCGGGCGCCTGTAGTCCCAGCTACTCAGGGAGGCTGAGGCAGGAGAATGGCGTGAACCCAGGAGGCGGAGCTTGCAGTGAGCCGAGATCGTACCACTGCACTCCAGCTTGGGTGACAGAACAAGACTCCATCTCAAAAAAAAAAAAAAAGGTTGGGTGTGGTGGCCTGTGCCTGTAGTCCCAGCTACTCAAGAGAATCGCTTGAACCTGGGAGGCAGAGGTTGCAGTCAACTGAGATCACGCCACTGTACTCCAGCCTGGCGACAGAGCAAGATTCCATCTCAAAAAAAAAAAAAAAAAAAAAAAAAAAAAATCCTGCCTACTCTGAAGGCCAAGGCAGGAGGATTGCTTGAGCCCTCAGGAGTTTGAGGCTGCAGTGAGCCATGATTGTACCGCTGCACTCCAGTCTGGGTGACAGAGCAAGACCCCATCTCAAAAAAAAAAAAAAAAAAGCATCTCAAATTATTTAACCAAATGGACTAAGCACATAATAATAATGGACTGTACAGACTGCCAGGTTTCTTTCCTATACTTTGTGCGATTATCACCAGGAAGTTTCTCTCTGGGTCTCATAATCCACAACACCTGAGTGTATCACATGAGTGTGCAGGACAATGAAGACACAGTGGAACACAACTAGACTTTCTGTAGACTAACCTGGAAGGCAGGTCTCTAATTTCCAAACCAGAAGTTCCTGGAAACTGAGTTCAAGGAAATAGAAGAAACTGATTAAAAAAAAAAAATTACAGTGTGGTTGAAGTCCAGAAATTTCTAGGCAGCTGGCTGGGCACAGTGGCTTGTCTGTAGTCCCAGCACTTTGGGAGGCTGAGGTGGGAGGATTGCCTGAGACCAGGAGTTTGAGACCAGAGGAAAAGAAAATGACAATGTGGAATTGTAAAAAAAAAAAATTTTTTTTTTTTTTGAGACGGGGTCTCACTCTATGTCGCCAGGCTGGAGTGCAGTGGCATGATCTCGGCTCACTGCAAGCTCCACCTCCTGGGTTCACGCCATTCTCCTGCCTCAGCCTCCCAAGTAGCTGGGACTACACACACCCACCACCTCGTCTGGGTAATTTTTTGTATATTTAGTAGAGACGGGGTTTCACCGTGTTAGCCAGGATGGTCTCGATCTCCTGACCTCGTGATCTGCTGGCCTTGGCCTCCCAAAGTGCTGGGATTACAGGCATGAGCCATCGTGCCCGGCCAAAAATTTTTATTTATTTGAGGACCAGAGAGAAGTTTTGTGCTTTAGCAGACTCCTCCGTGTTTTCTTCTTTTCACCCTGTTCAAAGTTTCCAGGTATTGGCTTTTTTTTTCTTGCTGTTTTTGAGACAGGGTATTTTGCTCTGTTGCCCAGGCTAGAGTGCAGTGGTGTGATCACAGCTCACTCCTGCCTCAACCTTGTGAGCTTAAGCAATCCTCCTGCCTCAGCCTCCCCAGTAGCTAGCACTACAGGCAAATGTCACCATGCTTGGCTAATATAATTTTTTTTTTTTAGAGATGGGGTTTCACTATGTTGTTCAGGCTGGTCTTAAACTCCTGGGCTCAAATGATCCTCTGTCTCAGCCTCCAAAAGTGCTGGAATTACAGTCATGAGCCACTGCAACTGAATTGCCTTTTTTTTTTTAAAGAGACATTCTTGCTATGCTGCCCAGCTGGAGTGTAGTGGTGGGATCACAGCTCACTGCAGGTTCAACCTCCTGGGCTCAAGTGATCCCTCAGGCTCAGGTGATCCCCCTGCCTTAGCCTCCAGAGTAAGTAGGACTATAGGCTAGCCTCCAGAGTAGGTAGGACTATATGCCCAGCTAATCCAGATACCCTTTTTATTAAAAATCTGAAAATCAGGCTGGGACCAGTGGCTCACACCTGTAATTGCAGCACTTTGGGAGGACAAGGTGGGTGGATCATGAGGTCAGGAGTTCGAGACCAGCATGGCCAATATGGTGAAACCCCATCTCTACTAAAAATACAAAAATTAGCTGGGCATGGTGGCGCATGCCTATAGTCCCAGCTACTCGGGAGGCTGAGGCAGAAGAATCACTTGAACCCAGGAGGCGGAGGTTGCAGTAAGCTGAGATCGTGCCACTGCACTCCAGCCTGGGCAACAGAGCAAGACTCTGTCTCAAAAAAAAAAAATCTGAAAATCATTATGGTATGTCATCTACCCTTATTATAATGCTAAAATGATTTCTGATAAAATAGTTCCTAACTCAACTAGAAAACTATAAAGAATGAAAGAATGAGCAGAGTACTCATGATGCCTTTGAGTAAAATCGAAACATCATAGAGCGTGATCTAATTTCCAAATCAATAGGCAGTATTGTAACATTAAAGGAAAGCTATTCCAATCACTTAGAAATACTTGCTAAGTACTGCTTTTTACAGTTATGACAACTGTTTCTATGCATATGAACCAAGCAACCAAATATCTATAACCATGGAAATATCTGATTAGAAATATTTCTAATTTGGGCCGGGCTCGGTGGCTCACGCCTATAATCCCAGCACTTTGGGAGGCCAAGGCAGGCGGATCACCTGAGGTCGGGAGTTCGAGACCAGCCTGACCAATATGGTAAAACCCCATCTCTACTACAATTACAAAAATTAGCCAGGTGTGGTGGCATGCACCTGTAGTTCCAGCTACTCGGAAGGCTGAGGCAGGAGAATCGCTTGAACTCAGGAGGTGGAGGTTGCAGTGAGCCAAGATCATGCCACTCCAGCCTGGGCAACAGAACAAGACTCTGTCTCCCAAAAAAAAAAAAAAAAAAGAGAGAGAAATATTTCTAATTATTGGCCGGGTGCAGTGGCTCACGCCTGTAATCCCAGCACTTTGGGAAGCCAAGGTGGGTAGATCATTTGAGGTCAGGAGTTCGAGACCAGTTTGGCCAACATGGTGACACCCTATCTCTACGAAAAATACAAAAATCAGCCCCTTTTCACAAGATGGCACCAAAAGCTAAGAAGGAAGCTCCTGCCCCTCCTAAAGCCAAAGCAAGGCTCTGAAGGCCAAGAAGGCAGTGTTGAAAGGTGTCCACAGCCACAAAAAAAAGAAGATCCGCGTATCACTAGCCTTCTGGCGGCCCAAGACATTGCGACTCCGGAGGCAGTGCAAATATCTTAAGAGCACCCCCAGGAGAAACAAGCTTGACCACTATGCATCATCAAGTTTCCTCTGACCACTGAGTCTCCATGAAGAAGACAGAAGACACACGCACTTGTGTTCACTGTGAATGTTAAGCCACAGCACCAGAGAAGCTCTATGACACTGATGTGGCCAAGGTCAACACCCTGATTCGGCCTGATGGAGAGAAGGAACATGTTCGACTGGCTCCTGATTACAATGCTTTGGATGTTGCCAACAAAATAGGGATCATCTCAACTGAGTCCAGTTGGCTAATTCTAAATATATGTATATCTTTTCACCATTAAAAAAAAAATTATCAAGGCATGGTGGCGCATGCCTGTAATACCAGCTACTCAGGAGGCTGAGGCAGGAGAATTGCTTGAACCTGTGAGGCGGAGGTTGCAGTGAGCCGAGATCACGCAGCTGCCCTCCAGCCTGGACAACAGAGCGAGACTCCATCTTGAAAAAAAACCTGAAATATTTCTATTGGATTCTGAATACAAAATTTCGCATGGGAGAAATCTTACTTCTTATGCCTGTTACAGTATAATTCCCAAATGTACCATCAGAAAAAAAAAAAAAAACCAACAGCTTATTTTTAAAAGTATACATAGAAATCTTGTTTCTAGGCCGGGTGTGGTGGCTCATGCCTGTAATCCTAGCACTTTGGGAAGCCGAGTCAGGTGGATCACTTGAGGTCAGGAGTTCAAGACCAGCCTGGCCAACATGGTGAAACCCCATCTTTACTAAAATACAAAAATTAGTCAGGCGTAGTGGCACAAGCCTGTAATTCCACCTACTCTGGAAGCTGAGATGGGAGAACTGCTTGAACCTGGGAGGTGGAGGTTGCAGTGAGCTGAGATTGTGCCACTGCACTCCAGCCTGGGCAACAGAGTGAGACTGTCCAAAAAAAAAAAAAAAAATCTTTTTTCTATTCCTATCAACTCTAAACATTTTTACTGACCCACAAACTGGGTCACACCAACTGGTTACACTAACTGATATGTGATCAGTTTCTTTTTTTTTTTTTTTTTTTTTTTTGAGACAGAGTTTTGCTCTTGTTGCCCAGGCTGCAGTGCAATGGCATGATCTTGGCTCAGTACAATCTCTGCCTCCTGGGCTCAAGCGATTTTCCTGCCTCACCCTCCCGAGTAGCTGGGATTACAGGCACAAACCAACACGCCCAGCTATTTTTTGTATTTTTAGTAGGGATGGGGTTTCACCATGTTGACCAAGCTGGTCTCGAACTCCTGACCTCAAATGATCCTCCCACCTCGGCCTCCCAAAGTGCTGGGATTACAGGTGTCAGCCACTGAGCATGGCCATGTGATCAATTTCATTAACTTCTCTAAAAAAAAATTCGTATTTCTTTTTAGAGATGGGGTCTTGATACACTGCCCAGGATGGCCTCAAACTCCTGGGCTCAAGCTATCCTCTTACCTCAGCCTCCTGAGTAGCTAGGACTACAGGTGTGCACCACCACATCTGGCAGTTTCATTAGTTTCTTGATTATCCTTTAGGCATTCCTTTTTGAGAAAATAAGCAAATACAGTTGACTCTTGCACAGCACAAGTTTGAACTGCACGAGTTCACTTGAAAATTTTTTTGGAGATTTGCAACAATTTGAAAAAACTTGCAGATGAACCACATAGCCTAGAAATATGGAAAAAATTAAAAAGGTATGTCATGAATGCATAAAATATATGTAGATACTAGTCTTTTATGATTTACTACCATAAAATACACAAATCCAGGCTGAAACGGGAGAATCGCTTGAACCCGGGAGGCAGAGGTTGCAGTGAGCCGAGATCGCACCACTGTACTCCACCCTGGGTGACAAAGCAAAACTCCCTCTCCAAAAAAAAAAAGTTAAAATTTATCAAAACTTACACACAGAAACACAGACTGTACATGGTGACATTCGCGGTCAAGAGAAATGAAAATAAATGTAAAGATGCAATATTACATAACTGTATAAAATTATAATCCAAACTACAACTGTCACAATTTTGTAGCCACCTATTGCAGTGAACTCAAGTGTTGTATCTGCTTAAAACACAGTAATGCTGATCATCTTGTAAGCAGTTGTCTCACCAGTAAATTGCATATTACAGTAAAAGTGATCACTCATGGTTCCTGCATATTTTTCAGTAATGTCATACCATTAACCTCAAATAGTAACGTGGGACCTATAGGAGGTGCCACTAGTGATGCCTGAAGCACTCCAAAGAAGCAGAGAAAAGTCATGACATTACAAGAAAAAGCTGAATTGTTTGATATGTACTGTAGATTAGGATCTACAGCTGCAGTTGCCCAGCATTTCAAGATAAATGAATCCATGCACATTGACAAAATCTATGTGGAAAAAAAAGGGTGAGGGGTAAGCATGGTGGCTCACTTTGGAAGGCTGAGGCAGGCGGATTGCTTGAGCCCAGAAGTTCGAGACCAGCCTGGGCAACATAGCAAAACCCCATCTCAATTTAAAAAAAAGAATTTTTTTTTTCCTTTTGAGACAGAGTTTCGATCTTTTGCCCAGGCTGGAGTGAAGTGGTGCGATCTCGGCTCACTGCAACCTCTGCCTCGCCAGGTTCAAGCGATTCTCCTGTCTCAACCTCCTGAGTATCTGGGATTATAGGCACCCACCACCACACCCAGCTAATTTTTGTATTTTTAGTAGAGACAGGGTTTTGCCGTGTTGGCCAGGCTGGTCTCAAACTCCTGACTTCACATGAGCCACCATGCCTGGACAAAAAAAATTTTTTTTTAAAGGCAAAGAAAAAAATAACTAAATCCAGCCTAAGGAACACTGTAAAAAAAAAAAAAAAAAAGGAAATTCATGAAGCTATCACTGCACCTATGCCAGGAGGCATGAAAACCCTGCATGCTTTGCACAATACCTTTTTATCTTCATATTGAAAACACAGCTTTTATGTGGGTACAGGGTTGTTATTAGAAAGTCCTACCTACAGCTTCTAATAGGATTCAAGAAAAAGCAAAATCATTACATGACAACTTAAAGCGAAAGGAAGGTGAAGGATCTAAAGCTGGATAATTTAATGTCGGCAAAGGATGGTTTGATAATTTTAGAAAGAAGGTTGGCTTAAAATATGTCAAAATAGCAGAAGGGGCAGCTTCTGCCAACCAAGAGGCAGCAGATGAATTCCCAGATACCATTAAGAAAATCATTGAGACCAGGCATGGTGGCTCACGTCTATAACCCCAGCACTTTGGGAGGCCAAGGCGGGTGAGTCACCTCAAGTCAGGAGTTAGTGACCAACTTGGCCAACATGGTGAAATCCCATCTCTACTAAAAATACAAAAATTGGCCGGGCGCGGTGGCTCACGCCTGTAATCCCAGCACTTTAGGAGGCCAAGGTGGGCGGATCAGGAGGTCAGGAGATCGAGACCATCCTGGCTAACACGGTGAAACCCCGTCTCTACTAAAAATACAAAAAATTAGCCGGGCGTGGTGGCAGGCGCCTGTAGTCCCAGCTACTCAGGAGTCTGAGGCAGGAGAATGGCGCGAACCCAGGAGGCAGAGCTTGCAGTGAGCGGAGATCGCGCCACTGCACTCCAGCCTGGGCAACAGAGCGAAAAATAAAAAGAAAAAGAAAAAAAGAAAAAAACGTAAAAACAAAAATTAGCCAGGTGTGGTGGTTTGCGCCTGTAATCCCAGCTACTTGGGAGGCTGAGGCAAGAGAATCACTTGAATCCAGGAGGCTGAAATTGCAGTGGGCTGAGATTGTGCCATTGCACTCCAGCCTGGGCGAAAAGAGCAAAACTCTGTCTCAAAAGAAAAGATAAAATAAAATAGAGTCCAAAACTATTAAAAGTAGGTACTGGCTGAGCAGCAGTTTCTTACAAACTATAAACAGCCTCTTCTAACGTTAGTATTCTCGGTGCCTCATATTTAAGTAGTTGATAACAGTCAACTTTTAGTATTGTTCTCTATTTGCTAAATCCTATCCCCCAACTAAACCTCAAGAACTGTCACATTTTTGTGTCCAATATAGTACCTAGAATAAGAAGTGCTATGAAGACAGCAGATTCTTCGTAAGTCCCTCCTGAACTTTCCAGTTAATAGAGTAAGCTCCCATACCTGACAAAGATCCAGAGAATTCACTCTGCTACTTCACGTTCCATACCAGTGACTCACCGCGCATAATCCTGGGGAGTGACCAGAAACTTCTCTTTCATCTGGACCTCAGCTTTGTTCTCCCACCAGAATTTGTTGGTTGCTTTCTTGTGCTCTGGGCTGAAAATGGAGAGGATAAGTAATCTCAGCTATAGATTATAAAATATTACTCAGATATTAAGCATTAGGTTTGTAATGCAAACTGACATCTGGGTTTCTGCCTGGGGCACGGCTGAGAGAGGAACACTGTTACCATCTCTTCAAGATCTCGTGTCTCTTCTTCCCATAAAATTGTGAGAATCTGAGGGGAGGTTAGGGGCGGTAACCAAGCGGGCTCTCGCAGCCAGACCACCAGCACCACTTGGGACCGTGGCAGCATATGACCCCTACCCTAACAAGGCTGGCAAAACCTGTGAAGTGACTCAATCCATCCTTCTTGATCAAATCACAAAAGCGTCCTTTTTCTCACCCACCCCAAACCCTCCTCCCGTATATGTATGCGTCTGTGCTGGAGCAGGCTCCTAGCTCGGCTCTCACCTGGCCAGATGCTCCAGCAGCCCCCCGTACAGCACCGTCAGGTTTCCATGGCTCAGGTGTTCCCGCACCTCACAGCCGCAGCACAGGCACCAGCAGCATCGCTCGTGTTCGGGCACATAGCGCTCCACCTGAGCGGCGCGGATGGCCTTGCGGGCCGCCTCCACCTGCCGCAGAGAGGCCAAGTAGAACCCCGAGGGGGACCCCCAAATCACACCCGCTCTGGCCTTCACTGACCTGCCCCGCACTCCCATCCCATCTCTAGCCTTGCCTCCGCACCTGGGGCAGGAGCCTCTCCAAAGCCTCCTTCAGCTGCCGCTGGTGCTTGCGGCTGTAAACGTGCCCGCGACCACAGAAGAAGGTCTGGCGGCACAGAGGGCAGCGCTGCGCCGGCGCCATAGCCCGGGTACCCGGTATCACCACCACCAGCGGCCGATCCTACGCCATCCGGCGGCCTCTGACCCTGACCCCTCGGGGTGGGGCTAACCCGGCGGCTCCCGCGGCCCTCAGCGCCCGGCAGGCGCCACTGCAAGCCCTTCTGCGGCTGCGCAGACTCCTCCCGGGCCTCTAGTCCCGCCCAGGCAACAACATCCCAGAGCTGGGCGGGTTAAGGAGGAGGATGGCGCCGTCCTGCAGATGTGCGGGGACGCGCGCCCGCCGCAACGTGAGGCTCATAGGCCACACGCAACTCTGAGCATTGGCCAGGACCTGTAGTAGCCAACAGGACACTTAATAACTGATGTATAGGTGCGCACTGTGTGTCCAGAGCTTTACGTTAACCACCTCACTGTGTCATCTCGCTGAGGTTGTGTGGTTTACTATTACTGCTATTAGCGCATTTTTAAGCGGGAAACCTGAGGCATGAGGAGGTAAGGAGCTTTGAGGAGGGTTGCACGGGTGTTAAGTAGCGCGGTCAGCACCTGATCCCCGTCACTCATCAGTACGGCGGTTGGAGGGGAATGCCTGCTGGAGGGGACCACGAACTAAACTCAATCGCCCCCACAGGGTGTGCTCGCCGTGGTTCCTATAAAGCTGTAAGGGAGGCTACACAGCGTGCAGCGTTGTTGCTGAGGGATCGCACACTTCCCGTAGATTTTGTTGCTAGTTCTGGTGCACTAACGTGGATGGACTGCTTGCTGTCTGTAGGGCCTGCCCACGGTCAGCGCTACAGAATTCAGGCCCGGCGTAGCTACTTCCAACCCTTCAGATCTTCACTTCCTGTTGGAACTGTCCTCTAGACTGTAGCCTCTGCCAGAAATAATTCATTTTGAATACCCTTGTAACACCCAATTCCTTGATCTCCTATCATTCCCCTGGCAGGGTCAGTCCTCGACCTTGTCCCCCCAAATTGCTTCGTCTCTGAATCCAGACTCTGAAGTTCGGCTCTGCCTACCACCTTAAGTTATCCGATGTGGCCTTACCGTCAGCCTAGTCTTTGACTACAGGAAGACCTCTCTTCCTGAAGAAGACGCCTCTTTTCATCCATTCACTCTGGAAATGATTCAACGTCTGCCTGCTGCTGATGCTTTACTCTCCACCAGGGGTTTTCGAAGTGTGCTTCCCCATTCCCCCTGGGCCTATAGCATCAGCATCAGGGAACTTGTCAGTAACGCACATTCTTGGGCCCCAACCCAGAACTACTGAATCAGAAACTTGGGGTGAGGGCCTGTCGTGGTGGCTCATGCCTGTAATCCCAACACTTTGGGAAGCAGAGGAGGGTGGATCACCTGAGGTCAGGAGTTGAGGACCAGCCTGGCTAACATGGTGAAACCCCGTCTCTACTAAAAATAGAAAAATTAGCCAGATGTGGTGGCGTGTGCCCATAATCCTAGCTACTCGGGAGACTGAGGCAGGAGACTCGCTTGAACCCAAGAGGCGGAGGTTGCAGTGAGCCAAGATTGCACCACTGCACTCTAGCCTGGGCGACAGAGTGAGACTCCGTCTCAAAAAAAAAAAAAGAACTCAGGGTGAGGCCCAGCCGGCTGTGGTTTTATGAGCTTTTCAGGGGATACTGATGCGGGATCAAATTTGAGAAGCACTGGTCTAGGTCTTAGATCCTCTTGCTTCAGTTTCGTCATTGGATCTCAGGAATGTTCAGCTGCCCTCTCAAGGCAACTTCTTACTTCACTTGACCTTCCAAGACCTCTCGTTCTGTCAAACCCCAATTTTGGATCAACCCAGGCATGCTTCCCTCATGTGTTCCAAAGCTGGTCAGAGTAGTCTACACCACTATCTGCTTCAACTTCTAGTAACGTCTAAGCCTTCAGCAGTTTTGCTTATGAAACTGCTTCACTGAAGTTCTCCACCACCAAGTAGTCAGCTGGCATCGGAATTCGGCTTGTGTCAAATGGAACTCAACATCTTCCTCTTCAGGACATCCCCTATTTTCATCCTCCCAGTGAATGACACCACCAAGTTAAAGCCTGGAGGCTGGGTGTAGTGGTTCATGCCTGTAATCCCAGTAGTTTAGGAAACCGAGGTGGGCAGATGGCTTGCGCCCAGGTGTTTGAGAGCAGCCTGGCCAACATGGCGAAACCCTGTCTCTACAAAAAAGTACTGCCAGGCGCGGTGGCTTACGCCTGTAATCCCAGCACTTTGGGAGGCTAAGCAGGCAGATCACCTCAGGTCAGGAGTTCAAGACCAGGCTGGGCCAACATGGCAAAACCCCATCTCTACTAAAAATACAAAAATTAGCCTGGTGTGGTGGCATGTGTCTAGTCCCAGCTACTCGAGAGGCTGAGGCAGGGGAACTGCTTGAACCCAGGAGGCGGGGGTTGCACTGAACCTGTTGCGCCACTGCATTCCAGCCTGGGTGGCAGAGCAAGACTCTTATCTCAAAAACAACCAAACACAAAACAAAAATTAGCTGGGTCTGGTGACATGTGCTTATAGTCCCAGCTACTTGGGGGGCTGAGGCAGGAGGATTGCTTGAGCCTGGGAGGTTGAGGCTGCAGCAATGAGCTGTGTTTGTGCCACTGCACTCTAGCCTGGACAACAAAATGAGACCTTGTCTCAAAAAGAAAAAAAAAAAGCAGGGTGCAGTGGCTGACGCCTGTAATCCCAGCACTTTGGGAGGCCGAGGCGGGCGGATCAGAAGGTCAGGAGATCGAGACCATCCTGGCTAACAAGGTGAAACCCTATCTTTACTAAAAATACAAAAACTTAGTCGGGTGTGGTGGCACGCACCTGTAGTACCAACTACTCAGGAGGCTTAGGCTGGAGAATCGCTTGAACCCAGGAGGTGGAGGTTGCAGTGAGCCGAGATTGCGCCACTGCACTCCAGCCTGCCAGCCTGGGCAACAGAGCGAGATTCTGTCTCAAAAAACAAAAACAAAAAAACCCAGAATAACTCACCCCAAACTTCCAGGTTTTTTTTTTTTTTGAGACGGAGTCTTGCTGTCGCCCAGGCTGGAGTGCAGTGGTTAGATCTCAGCTCACTGCAACCTCCGCTTCCTGGGTTCAAGTGATTCTTCTGTCTCAGCCTCCTGAGTAGCTGGGATTACAGGTGTGCGCCACCATGCCTGGCTAAATTTTGTATTTTTAGTAGAGATAGGGTTTCACCATGTTGGTCAGGCTGGTCTCAAACTCCTGACCTCAGGTGATCCACCCGCCTCGGCCTCCCAAAGTGCCAGGATTACAGGCGTAAAACTCCCATGCTGGGCTGGTCAAAGTGCTGGGATTACAGGCATAAGACAACGCACCTGGAACTTGGCTTGTGTCAAATGGAACTCAACATCTTCCCTTTTACTAAACCCCACCCAACATTCACTGCGCACAAGTTGTCTTATTCACTGGACTTCTAATATGTTTAAGGGGTCTGTCCCCATTTATTTTTTGAAACGGGGTCTTTCTGTGTTGCCCAGGCTGGAGTGCAGTGGTTGTTCACAGGTGCCAACCTACTATTGATCAGCATGGGAGCTTTGGGGTTTTAAAACAAATTTTTTAAGCCAGTCATATTTAGCAGTGGGGGGTTGTATACCAACTTTAGTGACACTAATGTTATTAAATTCTAATAACCCACTACCATCAGACCAGCCCAGCTTGGGAGTTTTGACCTGCTCCATTTCCGACCTGGGCTGTTTCACCCCTCCATAGACAACCTGGATAGTCCCCTGTCCTGGGAGGTCACCATGTTGAAGCTGAACTTAGTGTGGACACCCAAACTGCATAATGCATTACAGTCTAGAACTCCTGGGCTCAAGGGATCCTCCCACCTCAGCCTCCTGAGTAGCTAGGACCACAGGGTGCACCACCGCGCCCAGCTGTCTTCCTTTTTTTTTCTGAGACCGAGCCTCACTCAGCTGTCCAAGCTAGAGTGCAGTGGTGTGATCTCCATTCACTGCAACCACTGTCTCCCTGGTTCAAGCGATTCTCCTGTCTCAGCCTCCTGAGTAGCTGGGATTACAGGAACCTACCATCATGCCCGGCTAATTTTTGTATTTTAGTAGAGATGGGGTTTTACTATGTTGGCCAAGCTAGTCTTGAACTCCCGACCTCAGGTGATCTGCCCACCTTGGCCTCCCAAAGTGCTAGGATTATAGGCATGAGCCACCACGCCCAGCCCCCTACCCTTAAAAAAATTATATATATATATAATAGAGACAGGGTTGCGCTATGTTGCCCAGGCTGGTCTTGAACTCCTGGGCTCAAGGGATCCTCCTGCCTTGGCCTCAAAAGTGCTGGAATTACAGGCATGGGCCACTGCACCCAGCCTATCTTACATTTTTTTTAAACTCAGAGCATACCTCATTTCAATTTTCCTCCTCTCTTGCTTGGGTTCATGTAAAATCTTTCTAACTGGTTTCCAAGTGTCTGCTCTATTATGCTCCGTATATCCTCCATACTCTAGTCTGCTCCTACGAACTTCAGCATCTTCGGCCCCTCTGCCTGGAATTTACATCTTTCCAATCCTGCCTCACAAATTTTCTATTATATAAGGCTCCGAAATATGAACTAGAAGTAATTTCCGTGAAGCTGATGACTTTATCTGGCATATGGTAAGCTCTGAATCAATGTTTATTGAAAGAATGAAATGTCACCCCTTTGTGAAGCCTTCCAGAGTTGTCCCTGAAGAATTAATTTCTCAACTCCAAGGTCCTTTGCTCATCCTGTCATCATTTTTGTCTAGTAGTCAGTTGAAAACCAATAATTGAAAAGCTTGGCCGGACACGGTGGCTCATGCCTGTAATCCCAGCACTCTGGGAGGCCGAGGCAGGCGGATCACAAGGTCAGGAAATCAAGACCATCCTGGCTAACACGGTGAAACCCCGTCTCTACTAAAAATGCAAAAAATTAGCCAGGCATGGTGGTGGGCACCTGTAGTCCCAGCTACTCAGGAGGTGAGGCAAGAGAATGGGGTGAACCCAGGAGGCGGAGTTTGCAGTGAGCCGAGATCGCGCCACTGCATTCCAGCCTGGATGACACAGCGAGACTCTGTCTCTAAAAAAAAAAAAAAAAAAAAGGCTCCTCAAGTGCAGGGATTGTGTTCTATTCATGCCCGACTCTTAATTAACAGATGGCGGCTCTCTATGTACACTTGTCAAATTAAGTAGAAAACATCAAAACCCAGGCACCCTGAGGTTAAGATGCCCTTTAGTGGTGGGAGTTAGTGCATGGAAGGAGCCCAGGAAGCATGCAGCTAACAGCCTGCTAATTAGTAGTATCAAGCTACCAAATGGGCTCATGGGTAGCTTTCCTTAAAAATTGTAAAAAAATGGGCCGGGCATGGTGGCTCACGCCTGTAATCCCAGCACTTTGGGAGGCCAAGGCGGGTGGATCACGAGGTCCAGAGTTTGAGACCAGCCTGACCAACATGGTGAAACCGTGTCTCTACTAAAAATACAAAAATTAGCCAGGCATGCTGGCGCACACCTGTAATCCCAGCTACTCAGGAAGCTGACGCAAGAGAATCGCTTGAACCCAGAGGCAGAGGTTGCAATGAGCTGAGATTGCACCATTGCACTCCGGCCTGAGTGACAGAGCGGGACTTCATCTCAAAAAAAAAAATTGTACAAAATTTCCTTTATTAAAAATTGTAGCTCCCTCTCTCTCTCCCTCTCCCCCTCCCCCTCCCTCTCCACGGTCTCCCTCTGATGCCACCAAAGTTATGAAGGCCGAGGCTGGACTGTACTGCCGCCATCTCGGCTCACTGCAACCTCCCTGCCTGATTCTCCTGCCTCAGCCTGCAGAGTGCCTGGGATTGCAGGCGCGTGCCGCCACGCCTGACTGGTTTTTGCATTTTTTGGTGGAGACAGGGTTTCGCCGTGTTGACCGGGCTGGTCTCCAGCTCCTGACCGCGAGTGATCTGCCTGCCTCGGCCCCCCGAGATGCCGGGATTGCAGACGGAGTCTCGCTCACTCAGTGCTCAATGTTGCCCAGGCTGGAGTGCAGTGACGTGATCTCGGCTCGCTACAACCTCCACCTCCCAGCCGCCTGCCTTGGCCTCCCAAAGTGCCGAGATTGCAACCTCTGCCCGGCCGCCACCCCGTCTGGGAAGTGAGGAGCGTCTCTGCCTGGCCGCCCATCGTCTGGGATGTGAGGAGCCCCTCTGCCCGGCTGCCCAGTCTGGGAAGTGAGGAGCGCCTCTTCCCGGCCGCCATCCCGTCTAGGAAGTGAGGAGCGTCTCTGCCTGGCTGCCCATTGTCTGAGATGTGGGGATTGCCTCTGCCCCACTGCCCCGTCTGGGATGTGAGGAGCGCCTCTGCCCGGCCGCGACCCTGTCTAGGAACTGAGGAGTGTCTCTGCCCGATCGCCACCCAGTCTGCGAGGTGAGGAGCGTCTCTGCCCGGCCGCCCCGTCTGAGAAGTGAGGAGCCCCTCCGCCCGGCAGCCACCCCGTCTGGGAAGTGAGGAGCTCCTCCGCCCGGCAGCCGCCCCGTCTGGGAAGTGAGGAGCCCCTCCGCCCGGCAGCCGCCCCGTCCGGGAAGTGAGGAGCGTCTCCGCCCGGCAGCCACCCTGTCCGGGAGGTGGGGGGCAGCCCCCGCCTGGCCAGCCGCCCCGTCCGGGAGGGAGGTGGGGGGCGCCTCTGCCCGGCCGCCTCGTCTGGGAAGTGAGGAGCCCCTCTGCCCGGCTGCCACCCCGTCTGGGAGGTGTACCCGACAGCTCATTGGGAACGGGCCATGATGATGATGGCGGTTTTGTTGAATAGAAAAGGGGGAAATGTGGGGAAAAGAGAGAGATCAGATTGTTACTGTGTCTGTGTAGAAAGAAGTAGACATGGGAGACTCCATTTTGTTCTGTACTAAGAAAAATTCTTCTGCCTTGGGATGCTGTTAATCTATAACCTTACCCCCAACCCCGTGCTCTCTGAAACATGTGCTGTATCCACTCAGGGTTAAATGGATTAAGGGCGGTGCAAGATGTGCTTTGTTAAACAGATGCTTGAAGGCAGCATGGTCATTAAGAGTCATCACCACTCCCTAATTTCAAGTACCCAGGGACACAAACACGGTGGAAGGCCGCAGGGTCCTCTGCCTAGGAAAACCAGAGATGCTTGTTCACATGTTTATCTGCTGACCTTCCCTCCACTATTGTCCTATGACCCTGCCAAATCCCCCTCTCCGAGAAACACCCAAGAATGATCAATAAATACTAAAAGAACAAAAAAAAAAAAACAAACACAAAACAAAAAAACCCAAAACAACAACAACAACAACAAAAATTGTAGCCCAGGTGCGGTAGTTCATGCCTGTAATCCCAGCACTTTGGGAGGCCAAGGTAGGTGAATCACTTGAGATCAGGAGTTCGAAACCAGCCTAGCCAACATGTGGCCAACATAGCGAAACCTGGTCTCTACTAAAAATACAAAAAGCCAGGTGTGTTGGTGCTCACCTGTAGTCCCAGCTACTCAGGAGGTTGAGGCACGAGAATCACTTGAAACCAGGAGGCTGAGGTTGCAGTGAGCTGAGATCATGCCACCGCACTCAAGCCTGGGTGACAGAGCTAGACTGTCTCAAAAAACAAACAGACAAACAAAAACTATAGGCTGGACACGGTAGCTCATGCCTGTAATCCCAACGGGCAGATTGCTTGAGCTCAGGAGTTTGAGACCAGCCTGGGCAACATGGCAAAACCTCTTCTCTACTAAAAATATAAAAAATTAGCCAGGCAGGATTGTGTGTGTCTGTGGTCCCAGCTACCAGGGAGGCTGAGATAGGACGATTACTTGAGCCCAGGAGGCAGAGGTTGCAGTGAGCTGAGATCTTACCACTGCATTCCAGCAAGACTCAGTCTCAAAAAAAAAAAAGAAAAAAAAAAAAAGAAAAATTGTAAAAAGCAATTTCTTGTAAAAAACAAAAACTGTACAGAGGCTACAAACAATTGCCCCATTTATGTTGCCTACCCAGTCCTCAAAGATGGCCATTGCTCTTTGACACCTATATTGATCAAGATGTTTTCTCTGTTTAGACTTCATATATATGTGAACATAATTTCTGCCATATTTGGAGTAATTTTGAACACACTGTTCTCCTACTCTTTTTTAATTCCTCAAATTGTATTTTGGTTATCTTTTTTTTTCCTTTTGAGATGGAGTTTCACTCTTGTTGCCCAGGCTGGAGTGCAATGGTGCCATCTCAGCTCACAACAACCTCCGCCTCCCGGGTTTGAGCGATTCTCCTGCCTCAGCCTCCCGAGTAGCTGGGATTACAGCTATGCACCACCACGCCTGGCTAATTTTGTATTTTTAATAGAAGCAGGGTTTCTCCATGTTGGTCAGGCGGGTCTCGAACTCTCGAACTCAAGTGATCCACCCGCCTCGGCCTCCCAAAGTGCTGGGATTGCAGGCGTGAGTCACCGTGCCTGGCCTTGTGGATATCTTTCTATGTCAGTACATAGAACTTGATATTAAGTGCTATCTATATACTGATGACTCTCAGTGTATTTACATTTTCAGCTCAGACTTCTCTTCTGAACTCTAGACTTATAAATATCTACTTGACATTGACATAACCACCCTGATGTCTCACAGATTCCTTTTTTTTTTTTTTTTGAGATGGAGTTTTGCTCTTGTTGCCTAGGCTGGAGTGCAATGGCGTGAGCTCAGCTCACCACAACCTCCGCCTCCTGGGTTCAAGCTCAAGCAATTCTCCTGCCTCAGCCTCCCAAGTAGCTGGGATTACAGGCATGTGCCACCACACCCAGCTAATTTTGTATTTTTTTTTTTTTTTTTAGTAGAGACGGGGTTTCTCCGTGTTGATCAGGCTGGTCTCGAACTCCCCACCTCAGGTGATCCACCCACCTCGGCCTCCCAAAGTGCTAGGATTACAGGCGTGAGCCACTGTGCCCGGCCCCACCCCCCCGCTTTTTTTTTTGAGATGGAGTCTTGCTCTGTCACCCAGGCTGGAGTGCAGCTGTGTGATCTCAGCTCAGGGCAACTTCTGCCTCCTGGGTTCACGCAATTCTCTTGTCTCAGTCTCCTGTGTAGCTGGGATTACAGGCGCGTGCCACCACGTCTGGCTATTTTTTTTTTTCTTTTTCTTTTTTTGAGACAGTGTCTAGCTCTGTCACCCAGGCTGGAGTGCAGTGGCGCGATCTCGGCTCACTGCAACCTCTGCCTCCTGGGTTCAAACGATTCTCCTGCCTCAGCCTCCCAAGTATCTGGGATTACAGGCGCCCGCCACCACGCCCAGCTAATTTTTGTATTTTTAGTAGAGACAGGGTTTCACCCTGTTGGCCAGTCTGGTCTCAAACTCCTGACCTCATGATCCGCCTGCCTCAGCCTCCCAAAGTGCTGGGATTACAAGCGTGAGCCACCGTACCTGGCTAATTTTTGCATTTTTAGTAGAGACGGGGTTTCACCATGTTGGCCAGGCTGGTCTCAAACTCCTGAACTCAGTGATCCTCCCACCTCAGCCTCCCAAAGTGCTGGGATTATAGGTGTGAGCCACCGCCCCTGGCCTCACAGATTCCTTTTTTTTTTTTTTTAATTGGAGACAGGATCTTGCTCTGTCACTACTCAGGCTGGAGTGCAGTGGCACAATTATGACTCACTGCAGGCTTGATCCCCCTGGGCTCAAGCAATCCTCCCACCTCAGCCTCCCAAGTAGCTGGGACCACAGGCACACGCCACCACGCCCAGCTTATTTATTTTTTGTAGAGAGGAGGTCTCACCAGGTTGCCCAGGCTGGTTTCCAACTCCTGGGCTCAAGTGATCCACCCACCTCTGCCTCCCCAAGTACTGGGATTACAGGTGTGAGCCATCGTGCCCGGACTTGTCTCACAGATACTAAACACAGAACGCTCAAACCTGCTACTCCTGCAGGCTTCCTCTCCTCACCATTCACCTACTTGCTCAAACCAAAAACCTCAGAGTCATTCTTGCCTTTTCCTTCTTTTTTTTTTTTTTTGAGACAGAGTCCCGCTCTGTCACCCAGGCTGGAGTGCAGTGGCGCGATCTGGGCTCACTGCAGGCTCCACCTCCCAGGTTCATGCCATTCTCCTGCCTCAGCCTCCAGAGTAGCTGGGAATACAGGCGTCTGCCACCACACCGGCTAATTTTTTGTATTTTTAGTAGAGATGGGGTTTCACTGTGTTAGCCAGGATGGTCTCGATCTCCTGACCTCGTGATCCGGCTGCCTCAGCCTCCCAAAGTGCTAGGATTACAGGCGTGAGCCACCACGCCCGGCCATTCTTGCCTTTTCTTCTCCTGCAGTCACTACTATTGACTTGTTTTTTCGACCTCCACGATGCATCATCAAATTGTTCTTCTCCCTGTCTCCATCTCTACTGCCACTACTCCTCCAACCGGCCTGATTTACCGCAGTCACCTCCTAATGGGTGTTCCTGCTTCCATGTTGGCTTCTCCCCACAACAAGCCACTTTCAATGAATGGCTAATTGTGATTAACAACGACAACAACAAACAGTTATGTAAGTTACTTCAATTACTTTCCACCATACTGGAAAAAAATCCAAATGCCCTGTCATAGCCTAGGAAAGCCTACCCTGCCCCTCTCCCAGTTTTACCTTGGATCTTTCTGCCCTTGTTTAGTGTATTCTCTCTTCCATGGTCTTATCCCGTTTGCTCAAAAGGCCAAGGTATGTCTCTACCTCCAGGGCTTTGTCCATTCTAATGCCTCTATTAGAATGCTTTTCCTCCGGCCTGGGGCGGTGGCTTATGCTTGTAATCCCAACACTTTGGGAAGCCAAGGCAGGGAGATCACGAGGTCAGGAGTTCAAGACCAGCCTGGCCAACATGGTAAAACCCTGTCTCTACTAAAGGTACAAAAAGTTAGCCGGGTGTGGTGGTGTGCCCCTGTAATCCCAGCTACTCGGGAGGCTGAGGCAGGAGAAGCTTGAACCCGGGAGGCAGAGGTTGCAGTGGGCCAAGATTGTGCCATTGCACTCCAGCCTGGGTGACGGCACAAGACTCTGTCTCAAAAAAAAAAAAAAAAAGTAAAGGAATGCTTTTCCTTTCTGTTCTTCAGCCTGGCTAACTTCTCCTCATGCTACAGGTCTCAGTTAAAATGTCACTTTCTTAGAAAGGTCCTCTCTGATCTCCCCTCCAATCTAAATTAGATGCCAATATTGCTTTCTCTCAAAATAACTCCATCTTTTTTTTTTTTTTTTTTTTTGAGAAGGAGTCTCACTCTGTTGCCCAGGCTGGAGTGTAATGGCATGATCTCTTCTCACTGCAACCTCCGCCTCTCAGGTTCAAGTGATTCTCCCGCCTCAGCCTCCCGAGTAGCTGGGATTATAAGCACCCACCATCATGTCCAGCTAATTTTTGTATTTTTGTAGAGACAGGGTTTCACCATGTTGGCCAGGCTTGGTCTTGAACTCCTGACCTCAGGCGATCTTGCTTTGGCCTCCCAAAGTGCTGGGATTACAGGCATGAGCCACCATGCTTGGCCAATAACCCAATCTTTACTCAATATTACCATTGTGCATTATTGCACATAATTAGTGTATTGGTTTAGTATCTTTACATCTAGACTGAAAACTGTGAGGAACCATTTGGGTTTCTTTGCTGTATCCCTAACACCTGGCAAGGGCCTGGTATAGTGAAAATGCGTAACAAATAATTGTTGAAGTCTAGGCACGGTGGCTCACACCTGTAATCCCAACACTTTGAGAGGCTGACGTGGGTGGATCACTTGACCTCAGGGAGGGTACAAGACCAGCCTGGGCAACATGGTGAAACCCCATCTCTACTAAAAATACAAAAATTAGCAGGACGTGATGGCACATGCCTGTGGTCCCAGCTACTCAGGAGACTGAGGCAGCAGAATTGCTTGAACCTGGGAGGTGGAGGTTGCAGTGAGCCGGGATTGCGATCCTGCCTAAAAAAAGAAAAATAACAAAATAATTGATAAGTGAAAACTAGGTGCAAGTATAGGAGTTGAGAGCAAAGTGGGCAAAGGCAGATTTTTTCTTAGTAAACGCTGTATTGTTTTGTACTTTCTTTCTGATCTGCTGCATTTTGGGATCCACTTGCAACTTAAACCTGATGTTGGCCAGGTGTGGTGGCTCACACCTGTAATCTAGTACTGTTGGAGGCCGAGGCGAGTGGATTGCCAGAGCTCAGGAGTTTGAGACCAGCCTGGGCCACATGATGAAACTTCGTCTTTAGTAAAATACAAAAATTAGCCAGATACGGTGGTGCACGCCTGCAGTCCCAGCTGCTTGGGAGGCTGAGGCAGGAGAATCGCTTGAACCTGGGAGGCGGAAGTTGCAATGGGATGAGATTGCTCCATTGCACTCCAGCCTGGGCAACAGGGTGAGACTCCATCTCAAAAAACAAAAACAAAGCAAAAAAATCCCTGATGTTAACAAGAATGTGCACAGCGATAAGGCTGTATACGAAGTGCAGATGATGGGGACAAATTGAGGCCAAATCAGATGAAAGCAGAGCTTGGGACTCAGGACCCCTCCTTCCTGGGAGCTGAATAGACTCGGGTGGCAGGAAAGAGGCTCTGGCTGCCGGATAGCTCTGGGTGGGCCCAGAGCAAATGACCTGACCTGGTCCCCCTCACCCACTCCTGCAGTGGCTATCACTTAGAAATCAGCATCCAGGCTGGGTGCGGTGGCCACGCCTGCAATCCCAGCGCTTTAGGAGGCCGAGGCAGGTGGATCACCTGAGGTCAGGAGTTTGAGACCAGCCTGAACAATACGGTGAAACCCCATCTCTACTAAAAATACAAAAAATTAGCCGATGTGGTGGCGGGCGTCTGTAATCCCAGCTACTCGGGAGGCTGAGGCAGGAGAACTGCTTGAACCCAGGAGGTGGAGGATTGCTTGAGTCCAGGAGTTCAAGGCTGCACATGAACTGTGATTGTGCCACTGAAGGGCCCTATCTCAAAGACAAAACGAAAAATAAATAAAAATTTAAATGAGGAGGCGGGAGCTACATCAGATTGGAGTTACCAGCAAGGAAAGCAGGGAGGAAAAATGAAAAAGTGAGACTACCTCAACCCTGGTCAGTTGCAGAGACCTGGGAGCCCTCTGGACAAGGGAGCCACTCTCTCAAGAGTGAAGCACCACCCACTGCCACTTCAAGACAGGAGTTATGCCCAGCCCAGGTGGGCAGTGGTGGCCTTGAAGGCAGAGCTTTGTTTCTGTGCAGGCCTGTTGGGCAGGAGGGAAGAGCGGAGAGGGAGTGAGATCTGGCATCGTCTCTAAGCACTGAGTGTCTGTGGGATCCCTAAACAGCCCTGAACCTCACTCATTCCTTCCTTGTCCTCAGGCTTCTCCCTATTCCCCACAGATCTAAGGCTGCCAGCTGTCCCTGCCCTGAGGCTGTCCCCTGCAACCAGGGAGGCCACAGCCCCCCAGCTGGGACCTGCAGCCTCAAGGACTCTTATTCCACAAGTAGCTTTTCCTGAGGGTGTGCTGGAGACAAACAGCATGGCGAAGGGTAATGAAACTCAGGCCCTATTTTTCTTTTGAGACGAAGTCTCCCTCTGTCACTCAGGCTGGAGTGCAGTGGCGTGATCTCTGCTCACTGCAACCTCCACCTCCTGGGTTCAAGTGATCTTCCTGCCTCAGTCCCCGAGTAGCTGGGATTACAGGCTTGTGCCCCACGCCTGGCTAATGTATTTTTAGTAGAGACGGGGTTTCACCACGTTGACCAGGCTGGTCTCCAACTCATGACCTCAGGTGATCCGCCTGCCTTGGCATCCCAAAGTGCCAGGATGACAGGCATGAACCACTGTGCCCGGCCTGAGAGAGGAAGATTTTTCTACAGAAGTATTTCAGCTAATAAGCTAAGAAAATAGAAAATTAGGGCCAGGCACAGTGGCTTACACCTGTCATCCCAGCACTTTGGGAGCCCAGGAGTTTAAGACCAGCCTTGGCAACATAGGGAGACCTCATCTCTAAAAGAAATAAAAATTTTAAAAAGTTAGAAAATTAGGAATATGATTCCTAATACATTTTTAAAAATTTTGGATGTGATTTTTTTTTTTTTTGAGACGGAGTCTTGCTCTGTCGCCCAGGCTGGAGTGCAGTGGCACGATCTCAGCTCACTGTAAGCTCCGCCTCTCAGGTTCATGCCATTCTCCTGCCTCAGCCTCCCAAGCAGCTGGGACTACAGGCGCCCGCCACCACGCCCAGCTAATTTTCTATATTTTTAGTAGAGACAGGGTTTTACCGTGTTAGCCAGGATGGTCTCGATCTCCTGACCTTGTGATCCGCCCACCTCGGCCTCCCAAAGTGCTGGGATTACAGGCTTGAGCCACTGCGCCCGGCCTGGATGTGATGATTGTATCATGTTCAGTCTTTTTAGAGAAAAGAAATGATGTCTAGAAATTGATTCAAAATAATCCAGGGAGGCCAAGGCAGGTGGATCACTTGAGGTCAGGAGTTCAAGACCAGCTTGGGCAACATGGTGAAACCCTCTATTAAAAATACAGAAATTAGCTGGGCGTGGTGGCGCTCACCTGTAATTCCAACTACATGGTAGGCTGAGGCAGGAGAATTGCTTGAACCCGGGAGGCGGAGGTTGCAGTGAGCCGAGATAGTGCCACTGCATTCCAGTCTGGGTGACAGAGTGAGACTCCGTCTCAAACACACACACACACACACACACACACACACACACACACACACACACACACACACAATAATTCCAGGAAAGGGGAATGAATGTGTTAATAACATTGCCTGTGGGGAGATGAAGCTGGATGACAGATATGTAGGGTTCATTAGACCGACTTTGTATGTGTTTGAAATCTTCAGTCAACAAAATATCAGTTGGCTAGTGCCTGTAATCCCAGCACTTTGGGAGGCTGAGGCAGGCGGATCACAACGTCAGGGCGATCGAGACCAACCTGGCCAACATGGTGAAACCCCGTATCTACTAAAAATAGAAAAATTAGTGGGGCCTGGTGGCCATGTGCCTGTAATCCGAGCTACTTGCTAGGCTGAGACAGGAGAATCGCTTGAACCCGGTAGGCGGAGGTTGCAGTGAGCCGAGATCGTGCCACTGCACTCCAGCCTGGGCAACAGAGCACGACTCCCATCTCAAAAAAAAAAAAAAAATCAAACCAAACCAGGTGGATTGCTTGAGCCCAGCAGTTCAAGACCAACCTGGGAAAGAGTGAGACTCCATCTCTACAAAAAATTTAAAAAATTAGCCGGGTGTGGCCGGGTGAGATGGCTCACACCTGTAATGCCAGCACTTTGGGAGATAGAGGCACGTGGATCACCTGAGGTCGGAAGTTTGAGACCAGCTTGACCAACATGGAGAAACCCCATCTCTACTAAAAATACAAAATTAGCTGGGTGTGGTGGTGCATGCCTGTAATCCCAGCTACCTGGGAGGCTGCAGCAGGAGAATGGCTTGAACCCAGGAGGTAGAGGTTGCAGTGAGCAGAGATCGTGCCATTGCATTCCAGCCTGGGCAACAAGAGCAAAACTCCGTCTCAAAAAAAAAAAAAAAAAAAAAAAATTAGCCTGGTGTGGTGGTACGCACCTGTAGTCCCAGCTCCTTGGGAGGCTGAGGTGGGAGAATTGCCCGAGCCCAAGGAGTTCGAGGCTATAGTCAGCTCACACCTTTAATCCAGCACTTTGGGAGGCTGAGCAATTGGACATCTACAAGCCAGAAATGAACCTTGACCATACAGAAATTAACTCAAGAGGCCAGGTGTGGTGGCTTACGCCTGTAATCCCAGCACTTTGGGAGGCCAAGGCGGGTGGATCACCTGAAGTCAGGAGTTGGAAACCAGCCTGGCCAAGATGGCAAAACCCTGTCTCTACTAAAAATACAAAAATTAACTGGGCCTGGTGGTGCATGCCTGTAATCCCAGCTACTAGGGAAGCTGAGGCAGGAAGATCGCTTGAACCTGGGAGGCGGAGGTTGCAGTGAGCCAAGATTGTGCCACTGCACTCCAGCCTGGGCAACAGGGTGAGACTCCGTCTCAAAAAAAAAAAGTCACCTGCTGGGTGTGGTGGCTCACACCTGTAATCCCAGCACTTTGGGAGGCCAAGGCAGGTGGATCACCTGAGGTCGAAAATTCGAGATCAGCCTGACCAACATGGAGAAACCCCGTCTCTACTAAAAAATACACAAAATTAGCTGGGCTTTGTGGTGCATGCCTGTAATCCCAGCCACTTGGGAGGCTGAGGCAGGAGAATCGCTTAAACCCAGGAGGTGAAGGTTGCGGTAGGCCGAGATTGCACCATTGCATTCCAGCCTGGGCAGCAAGAGTGAAACTGTCACACACACACAAAAAAGTCATCTGTAAGCTTTAAAAACAAAACAAAACAAAACAAAACATGGCGCCTCCCCAAAGCACCTTTCTATGCTCCCTTAGCAAATGCCCTCAACGCTATTGCAGCTAAGAGAATGCAGCGCAGTTCTCCCTGGCACCTGTATTCTATCCTGAGCTTGGTACACAGTAGCCACTTAAGGAGTATCAATTGAATGAATGTGTGGTGCTTACAGAATTGGCTGCTACAAACGGGCATCTCCCAGAATAATTTTTACAGATGGAGTCTTGCTGTTGCCCAGGCTAAAGTGCAGTGGTGTGATCATGGCCGACTGCAGCCTTGACCTCCTGTGCTCAAGGGATCCTCCTGCCTCAGCCTCCCAAAGTGCTGGATTACAGGTGTGAGCCACTGCATCCAGCCAAGATTATCTTCATAATCCAGAAAAATGGAAATTGCTCCAAGATGCTTTAGAAGGCTGTGCATTTTCCTCCTTTGAGGAAAGAAAATTACGGACTCCCTTTGCTGCACGGCAGGCACCTGCCCCATTGCCTCAGGAGCATCTGTAAGCTGAAGGCATTCCATCTCCAACCTTGGAGTTGATCTCCACCTCCACCCTTAACCCCATCCTTAGAGACCCCACCTCCACAGACACACACAGAAGGCTAGTGAGGGTAATTTTAATAAAGCATTAGCTGGCTGTTGCTTCTTGGGGTTAAAGATCAAAGAGGAAGGGCATCACATCTGTAAGAAAAGGAGAGAGTTCAGGAGTTTATACTTCACAATTGCTGTTTCCTAGGCCTGGGATGCTCTCTCATAGCAGGTCATCTGCTTCTTTCACTCAAGGCTCAAATGCTGCCTCTTCTCTGAAGCCTCCCTGCACTGCTCCAGGGAAAGTAGAAGTACTCTTTGTACATAACCTCTATTAACTGTGCTTCTCATGTTGTGTGCTCACTATTGCCTAGACTGCTGGTCTTGGTAAGGCCAGTTGCCCCTTAGTTGTTTGCCCATGGATTCCTGGCACATCACGCCCCACACTGGTGGGGGAGGTCTCACCTCAGGCAGGCATCACCTGAGGGTCTCAGATCACTGTTAATCTCCCTGTTTCCTATAGAAGATGCATTCCCCCACCCCCACGGTGTGACCCAGGCTTCCACACTTGGCCTTGGGTCAGGATCCTCAGGTCTCTTCCCCTTGGGCCCACGCACAACAAGTCTTCACACCTGGCTGGCTCATGCACTGTTGGATACTTTCTAGCCGAGTGGAAGCCAAGGCGCGGGCCTCCTCCGCAAAGCGGCGGTGTCCCTCCTCGGTCAACTTCCAGAGGCAAGATCGAGGCCGTGTGCTGGCCCCGCCCTGCATGCTGACAGGCACTTTCTCAAAGCTGTCTCGAAAACAGAGATTGTGACGGACAGTATTCTTCCAGCCTTCCGGGGCCGTCCGGAAAAAGGGGAAGTGCTTTCTATGGACAGGGAGGAGAGGTAAGGAAAGGCATGTTATGTCTGGGGAATGCCCTTCTCTGGGGCATGTTCTACCCAGGGGCCAGGGGCTTTAGCCCTTCTCTCCAGGGGGATAGTAGCAAGTTGGCCTGGAGTTGCTCTTTGCTAACTGAGCACGTGGCAAAGCATCCACGTGGTGCGTGGCTCACCTGAACCCTCCCTCCCTCTGAGGGCCCAGGGCTTGGACCACAGCATGAACAAAGCAGAATCAGGCCAAGCAGCTCCTGTAAGAGGAATCTTGGTTGAGGACGGACACCACTTGAAAATTCCTGTCCTGAGACATTAGGCACTTCTCCTAACACTGGGAAAGGGCCCAAGAAACTCCCTTCCTCACCCTCCTGTGAGCAGGACTATCTGAGCTAAATGGAAAATCCTTCTCAACTGGGTTCTCTGCACCCCTGGGGGTGCAGGGAGCTGTGCCAGGCAGTCCAGTCCTAGCAGAAGCAGGTGGGAACCGTTGGGGAAACCTGACTTTAGACTGGCTGATCTTCAGAGGATGGTGGGGAAACTGTTACCTGACCCAAGTGAATGTATGTTTTAAAGGAGAACTATACCCAAAGAACACTGAAAACTTGTTAAAAAGAAAAAAAAAACTAAAGCCATAAAATGTGGGCACAATGTGGGCACAAATGCACCTGGGAAAAGGGAACTGGGAACATACTTGTCCTCTCAGACCCAGATAGGGAAACCAGGTCAGCAACCCAGGGCCTGGGATGGATTGGAAGGCATCAGCCCGGGGCCCTGGCCCCCACTTCCCCCTCCTCGCAGGGCCCCCGGCACATACCGAGTGAAACTGTAGATCTGTTGCACGTTGAGGCCACAGGGGGAACTGTTTCTTAATGCCAGGGCAATTAGGTGGAAGTAATTGAGAGGGGGCCGGGACCAGAGCCTCCCCGCCTGGCTGCTGGCTTGCCGAAGCCTCCGACTCTGGAGGGGGGCCCTTTTGTGAGGGGATGGGAGAGCCATAGAGGAGCTGTCTTCCTGGTCCTCAGCCTCCTCCTCTTCTGTGAGCTAGAGGAGCACAGAGTAGGAACTGGTCCTGACTCCTCAGCCTCTACTCCAGGGTGCAGTGGCAGGAAGGGGGGGTGGTCTAAGGCCACCATTTGGGCTTCTCCCCAACCCAAGCATGTAGGTAATTTCTGAACCCATTCACCTTTTGCTATGGCTAAGAGAGCAGAACTGTAATGGCTCTTCCCCATGCCCCTCGCCTACTGCCCAAGTCCCACTCCCATCCCCAAAAATGCATACCTCCCAGGTGCTGGGGGAAAAGGCAAACCGCTTCCGAGGGGGAGACCGCTTGCTGGAGGACTGGGACAGTGATTCCACCCCTGCGGCCTCTGAGCAGCTGGCATCTTCCTCCTTCTGGGGTGGCTGAGAGGAGGGGAGTGTGCTTGTCAGGTCCTCCCTCTTCCTACGTCCTGAGACCTCCAGCTTTCCAGGGGGATACACAATGTTGGGATTTACCCACATCCAGAGGTTGGGCTCATAATCTGGACCTGTGCAGAACAAAAGATTGTGTGCCACAGCCCACTGGCTTTGGGTGCCCCTGGTCTCCAGCCCAGGCCACAGAAACAGGTCAGAGAACTCAATACGTACCATCCTTATCAGGGTTGGGTTTTTTCTCTAGGGGTAATTTTGGTGGCTTAACAATTCGGAGTTTATACCTGGCAACTGGCAAAAAGAAAGACAGAGAGAGTCAAAACATCCTAGAATATCCCTTTGTGACCCTAGGATCCTAGGCCTTAAGGCTTCTCTGGGAGAAGGTTGTGGGCCCTGCCTTGGGAGTTAACATCACATTCTACTTCTACGGGTTTTCCCTTTACCTCTCTGACCTTCTCATTCCCCTCTGCATTCTTTTCTTCTCACTCTACGTATACTATCCCTGAATGATCTCATGCATGTCCGTGGCTTCAGTTAACATCTATAAAAAAATGTAGAGCTCTCAAATCTTCACCTCTAGCCTAGCATTCTGTGCTAGCCCTTAAGGAGAACTACCTACTGGATGTCTTTACTTGGGTAGCCCACAGGCACTTCAAACGCACTTCTAAAACT
>NW_021160002.1:0-45257 GCF_000001405.40 Homo sapiens | reverse complement strand
CAAAGCGCCTTGATCTGATAACTTCAGCATAATTTCAGGATACAAAATTGAAGGGGTGGCCTGCCCCTCCACACCTGTGGGCGTTTCTCGTCAGGTGGAACGAGAGACTTGAGAAAAGAAAGAGATACAGAGACAAAGTACAGAGAAAGAAAAGTAGGCCCAGGGAAACCGGTGCTCAGCATACGGAGGACGGGCACCTGCACCAGTCTCTGAGTTCCCTTAGTATTTATTGATCATTATCGGGTGTTTCTCAGAGAGGGGGATCTGGAAGGACAATAGGGTAATAGTGGAGAGAAGGTCAGCAGGAAAACAAGTGAACAAATTTCTCTGCATCATAAACAAGGTAAAGAAAAAAGTGCTGTACTTTTGATGTGCATATACATAAACATCTCAATGCCTTGAAGAGCAGTATTGCTGCCAGCATGTCTCACCTCCAGCCCTAAGGTGATTTTCTCCTATCTCAGTAGATGGAATATACAATGGGGTTTTACACCTAGACATTCCATTGCCCAGGGGTGAGCAGGAGACAGATGCCTTCCTCTTATCTCAACTGCAAAGAGGCCTTCCTCTTTTACTAATCCTCCTCAGCACAGACCCTTTACAGGTGTTGGGCTGGGGGACGGTCAGGTCTTTCCCTTCCCAAGAGGCCATATTTCAGACTATCACATGGGGAGAAACCTTGGACAATACCTGGCTTTCCTAGGCAGAGGTCCCTGCGGCCTTCTGCAGTGTATTGTGTCTCTGGGTACTTGAGATTAGGGAGTGGTGATGACTCTTAACAAGCATGCTGCCTTCAAGCATTTGTTTAACAAAGCACTTCCTGCACAACCCTTAATCCATTTAACCCTGAGTTGACACAGCACATGTTTCAGGGAGCACAGGGTTGGGGGTAGGGTTACAGATTAACAGCATCTCAAGGCAGAAGAATTTTTCTTATTACAGGACAAAATGGAGTCTCTTATGTCTACTTCTTTCTACATAGACACAGTAACAGTCTGATCTTTCTTTTCCCCACAAAAATTAATGTACAAAACTCAGTAGTATTTCTACACACAAACAAGGGGAACTTAAACAAATTTACAAGCAAAAAACAACCCCATTAAAAAGTAGGCAAAGGACATGAACAGACACTTTTCAAAAGAAGATATACATGTGGCCAACAATCATATGAAAAAAAGCTCAACATCACTGATTAGAGAAACACAAATCAAAACCACAATGAGATACCATCTAACATCAGTCAGAATGGCTATCAATAAAAAGTCAAAAAATAACAGATACTGGTAAGGTTGCAGAGGAAAGGGAAGGCTAATATACTGCTAGTGGAAATGTAAATTTGTTCAGCCATTGTGGAAAGCAGTTTGGTGATTTCTCAAAGAACTTAAAACAGAAATATCATTCAACTCAGCAATCCCATTATTGGGTATATACCCCTAGTGCTATTGCACACTTAAAAGACTGCGTACAGTGTATATATAACTTTTATATGCACTGGGAAAGCCCCACAATTTGTGTGATTTGCTTGATTGTGATATTTGCTTTACTGCAATAGTTTGGAACCAAATCTACAATACCTCTCAGTTATACCTCTGTTTAAAAAATAAGAATAATATGCACAGTTTTATGTCATCCAAATTGAACATGTAATTAAAATTCATCACTTCTCAGGGCCAGGCACAGTGGCTCATGCCTGTAATCCCAGCACTTTGGGAGGCTGAGGCGGGTGGATCAGCTGAGGTCAGGAGTTTGAGACCAGCCAGATCAATATGGAGAAACCCCATCTCTACTAAAAATACAAAATTAGCCAGGCGTGTTGGCGCACACCTGTAATCCCAGCTACTCTGGAGGCTGAGGCAGGAGAATCACTTGAACCTGGGAGGTGGAGGTTGCAGTAAGCCAAGATAGCACCATTGCACTCCAGCCTGGGCAATAAGAGCAAAACTCCATCTCAAAAAAAAAAAAAAAAAAAAAAAAAATTCAATTCTCAGAAAACTGAATTCAAAAAGAAAAACATTAGAGCGGAACTATAAATATTTTTAAACTAAAACTGTAGTTTAAGGTATACAAACACACATGCACACATACACACACACACTTCAACTAAGCCCAGATCATTTTTTTAGTTTTTTTTTGGTATATAATATTTGTACATATTTGTGGAACACATGTGATATTTTGATATATGCATAGAATGTGTAATGATTAAATCAGGGTATTTATGATATCACCTCAAATGCTTATCATTTCCTTGTGTTGGGAGCATTTCAAATTTTCTCTTCTAGCTATTTTGAAATATTCAATATATTGCTGTTAACTGTAGTCACCCTGCTTTGCTACTGAACACTAGAATTTATTCTTTCTATCTAATTGTATTCCCTCTATCTAACTACCTAACTGTTGGTACCCATTAACCAACCTCTCCTCATCCCCTCTCCACACACATACACAACCTTGCCAGCTTTTAGTATCCATCATACTACTCTTTACCTCCATAAGATAATCTTTTTTAGCTTCCACATATAAGAGAAAACATGCACTATTTTGTATTTCTGTGCCTGGGTTATTTCACTTAACATAATGACCTCCAGTTTCATCCATGCTGCTGCAAATGACAGGATTTCATTCTCTATGGCTGATTATACTTCATTGAGTGTATATGTCAAATTTTCTTTACCCATTCATTCAGTGATAGGCATTTAGATTGATTCCATGTCTTAGCTATTGTGAATAGTGCTCCAATAAACATGGGGGTGCACGTATCCCTTTGACATACTAATTTCTTGTCCTCTGGGTAAATACCCAGTAGTAGAATTACTAAATTGTATGGTAGTTCTATTTTTAGTTTTTTGAGAAAACTTCATACTGTGCTTCATATTGGCTGTACTAATTTATATTGTCACCAGCATTTTTTTATCTTTTTCATAACCAAAAGTGACAGTGATAACTGAGGTAAGATGGTATCTCATTGTGGCTTTGATTTGCATTTTTGATTAGTGATGTTGAGCATTTTTTCACATACTTGTTGGCCATTTGTATGTCTTCTTTTGAGTAATGTCTATTCATACTTTTGCCCACTTTGTAATGAGATTACTTGGTTTTTGTGGTTGTTGAGTTGTTTAAGTTTCTTGCACATTCTGGATATTAGTTCCTTGTTGGATAAACAGTTTGCAAATATTTTCTCCCATTCACCATGTTATATTTTCATTCTGTGGATTGTTTTGGGGTTTTCTGTTATGTTGTGGTGGTGGTGGTTGTTGTTGCTCTTGCACAGAAGCCTTTTGGTTTAATAGTCCCATTTGTCTATTTTTTTGCTTTGTTTTGTTGCCTATGCTTTTGAAGTCTTAGCCACAAAATCTTTGCCTGGATTGATGTCCTGGAATGTCACCCCTCTGTTTTCTTACTGCAGTTTCATAGATTCAGGTCTACATTGAAGTCTTTAATCCATTTTGAATAGTTTTGTATATGGTGAGAGATAGGGATCTAGTTTGATTCTTCTGCATAAGATATCCAGTTTTATCAGCACCTTTATTGAAAAGGATGTCCTTTCCCTAATGTATATTCTTGGCACCTTTGTTTAAAAGTTGGCTGTAAATATGTGGGTTTACTTCTGGGTTCTCTATTCTGTTCCTTTGGTCTATGTTTATTTTTATACCAATACTGTGCTGTTTTGGTTAGTATAGCTTTGTAGTATATTTTGAAATCAGGTAGTGTAATTCTGCCAGCTTTGATTATTTTGTTCAGGATTGCTTTGGCTGTTCAGGTTCTTTTTTGGTTGCATGTGAATTGTAGGATTTTTTTTCTATTTCTTTGAAAAACATAATTGGTATTTTAACAGGGATTGCATTAAATCTATAGATTGCTTTGAGTAGTAGAACTATGTTAATAATATTAATTCTTCTGATCCATGAGCATGAATGCCTTTTAATTTGTTTCTGCCTTCTTTAATTTCTTTCGTTAGTGTTTTGTACTTGTCCTTGTAGAGGTCTTTCACCTCCTTAGTTAAATTTATAGGTATTTTCTCTTTTTGTGTAACTGTGGCAAATGAAATTGCTTTCTTGATTTCTTTTTCCTTCAGTTTGTTGTTGGTGTACAAAAACAGCTACTGATTTTTGTATGTTGATTTTGTATCCTCCAACTTTTTATTAGTTCTAAGAGGTTTTTTTAGGTTTTTCTAAATATAAGATCATGTCATCTACAAAGAGGGACAATTCAACTTTTTTTTAACCTTATTTATGTTGAAGGACTACCGTTTGACTTTTTCTTTTCCAATTTAGATGCCCTTTACTTTTTTATCTTGCCTGATTGCTCTGGCTAGAACTTCCAGTCCCATGTTGAATAGGAGTGGTGAAAATGGGCATTCTTGTCTTGTTCCAGTTTTTAGAGAAAAGGCTTTCAGCTTTTCACTCTTCAGTATGATGTTAAGTGCAGGTTTGTCATAAATGGCTTTATTATGTTGAAGTATGTTCCTTCTATGTCTAGCTTGTTGAGAATTTTTATTATAGTGATGTTAAATTTTATCAAATGATTTTTCTGCTTCTATTGAGATGATCATATGGTTTTGTCCCTCATTCTGTTGATGTGATGTATCACATTTATTGATGTGCAGACGTTAAATCATCCTTGCATCCCTAGGATAAATCCACTTGATCATGGTGTATTATCTTTTTGATGTGTTGTTGAATTCAGTTTGCTAGCATTTTGTTGAGAATTTTTGTGTCTATGTTTATCAGGGAGATTGGCCTGTAGTCTTCTTTTTTGTTGTGTCCTTGTCTGGTTTTGAGATCAGAGTAATGCTAGCCTCAAAGAATGAGTTAGAAAAAAAGTTCCTCCTCTTCACATTTTTATAATAGTTTGAAAAGAATTGGTGTTAGTTCTTCTTTATAAGTTTGGTAGAACACAGCAATAAAGCCATCCAATATTGGGCTTTTCTTTTCTGGGAGTTTTTTTAATTACTGATTCAATATTGTTACTCATTATTGGTCTGTTTATTTCTTTTATTTCTTCCTGGTTCAATCTTGGTAGGCTATATGTGACCAGGAATTTATCCATTTCCTCTAGGTTTTCCAGGTTTTTAACATATAGTTGTTTACAATAGTGTCTGATGATCTTTTGTATTTCTGTGGTATCCAATATATTACCTTCTTTTTTATTTTTGATTTTGTTTATTAATCCAGACAGCTTTACAGATTAATTCTACTAAACATTTAGTAACAAATAGTTCCTACCATATAAAAACTTTTACAAACAATAGAAAAAGGCATTCATTTTATGAAGTTAACATAATCACAGTAGTAAAATTTAACCAGAAAATAAAACAAGAAATAAAATTAAAATCCAATGTGGTAGCATAGGACTAAATGCCTACTTGAAAATAATTGTTATGAATTTAAACTGAAATTACTTTTCATGATTTTGTGTTTTTCCAGATACATACAGTTTTATGAATGCAGGTGCAAAGTATGTAGAGAGTTAGATTTAACCCAAGTGGTGGTTCTGCCAAATGAATTTGAAGAAACAAACAGGGAAAAAGGAGTTGGGCACATTTGAAAGGGAGTAATTCCAATGGCAGGTCATGGAATCTATTCGGATAAAGAAGGAAGAAAGGATAGCAGAGGGATGAGGGATGATAAAAAGATGCTAGGGTCCATAAACTACAATCCCTGATGGGAGATGGAAAATTGATTTGATCAGCAATCCTTCGATGTAGGAAAGGCAATATTATTTTCACATTTATATATGATGAAACTGAGACTCAGATATGCTAACAGCCTTTTCTAAAGGAAGTATATACATGAGAAATTATCAGAGCTTTCATTCCAATGTGAATACCCTGGCTCTCACTCCCTTTTCTGGTCTTTACTGACTTCCACATCTTGCTAATTTTCCTGGTTACTGCTATTTCTTAGGGGTTAATTCTCACTTAGGGTCAACTAAGGATTCCCACATAATCAGTCAGATTTTGATAAGGCTCAGATTTTGTTTCTATTTTAATAATGTTGTAAGTTCGAATTTTTTGAAATAATTATTTAAGATGAGAGGAAACATCTGTTTAAAAAGGGAAATGAACTTTATTGCCACAAAATGCCCACACTGTGTAAGAATGGAGAGCACAGTCCAACGTTCTCAAAATCCGTGTATATTCTATTACAACTAATTTTCTTCCAGTCTTCCTTCTCTATTTATATTCCATTCACAAGGTTTCTCTGCTCCTTTTTTGAAGGTTGAATTTTGAACACACTATTTACAGCCTGCAGGTTTTTTGTTTCCTTGTTCTACATTGTAGGTTGACTAGGAAGTGCTAAGAATACCTTTCTCTAGAAGACTATAAATCGCCACATAAAGTCTATTTGTTTGACAACCTTTCCTCCCCTTGGTAACCTTACCAAGAATTCCTTCAAGGTCATCAAACTTGAAATATGTATTTATAATCATTATGTAATAAAATGAGAAGATGGGACTTGTTTGGACATCTTTTTATACAAACTGACATTTATTCTTCTGCCAATATCAATAAATAAAAAGAGCTGCAAAATACATGCGTCATCATTCAGAAAACTGACAAAAATGACTGGAGAGTTGTTGCTTAAGTAAACCAGTTATCATTTAAGTATCAGGGTCAGAAAATATATGGTGCTTAGTTTGATTTATCGTCTAGGTGTGTGCCTGCTTCTTTGTACCATCAATTTCCTAAGTATAACCTATCAATTTGGAGAGACACACTTTCCAGCTCAACAACACCAGTGCATTAACATCTTTGAAGGCATTCACCACACATGTAAGATGTAAATCAAAAGTAAATTTATTCTAAAATGATGTTTTTAAGATACTATTGTGAAAAATTAAAAGTACCTCCAGGGAAATAAAAATAAAACACTTTCTAAAATTGGAATGCACTGTCTTGTGTCCAGAATTGCTGTTGTAAGGCAAATTTGTGTTTAGAAAATATAGTTGTTATCTTGATATTTCCTTCTTTTTTGTCACTCCTAAAAGGCCTTATTTGCTCTTATTTATATTTCTCCTGCCTTATTCCGCCATATAATTTTCTCTTACACTTATATACTTTTGATTTCTCAGTAGTTTAGCCTACTTGATTTTCTATGTAACATTGAATTCCTGCCAGTTTTGTAAAACTTATTTCATATTGCTTTAAAGTGTGATTTTTCTCAAGCCCCAGATGCAGTAAATGTGAAACACTGTGCTGTGTGGAAATTTCAGTCACTGCATTTGTTTGGTTAAGACAACTTAATTGCTTGCAGAGGCAGCTCCAGTTTCAGCCAGTAAAACAAATTCAATGATCACTGTGAGTAAGGTGAGAACAAAGAAGAAATAGTATTTCATTCTTCTGCTGGTGGCTCTTCACTGCACTTATCACCACTAGGGAGTCAATGTTGGAGGGAGGGTGTCAAAAAGAGTGAGAATGCAGAATTGACAAGTAATGTTCCCATGAAATTATTGCTGAACCAGATGTAGAAAAATAATATCAAGCAAATATTTCAAATAACAGACAGCTGCACAGAAAAGGCAACTCTGAGAGCTTTCATCACAATAAAATGTATTTTAAAAGTAAGAGGTACAGACTTCCCTCAAATACCTAGCCTCCAAAAGTGTTGCTTTGAAGAGATCTAATAAACTGTTGCTGAAGTAGAAGAATCAGCTTGACATTGGTGAGATTTTTAAAGAAATTTTTAATGTATATGTTGCTGCATCTCATTCTACCTCTTCTCTACTCAGAATGTTATATGCGGAATTTAAAGGACGACGCAAGGTTGGGGAGTAAGAAGTAACTTAGTCCCATTCCTATCAAACCGCACAGCTCTTCCAGAGGGGGAGACACATAATCAATCATGGGTGAGAGAATCCCAATATCCATTGCAACCTTATGAGTTAAGAGACCATCTACAGATGTGTAAAGTTTAGGAGAGTAAAAGAAACTACAGAAGAAATCTTGGAAAACCAAGATGCCTACTTTGGGCAAATAACATTTTGATGAGCTCTGCAGATTCACTTTCCTGAAGGTCATGTTCAAAAGAGGTCATAATGCTCAGATGGGCAATAGTAGTAAGAATACCACCCAGGCCCATTGGCAGCAGCATATGCCTTTGAGCATAATACTGAGCTGCTTCCACCCACAAGCCCATGAGAAAATTGTGTTATCTTTATTATCTGGTGGGATCTGTGAAAGCCTGGAGTGTTAGAGGAGGGAAAGACACTTGAAAAATTAATCAAAGAAAATCCAGAAATTCTTAGTGTAAATTGGGCTGACATTAGATAGGAATTTGTATAGATGTTCACTGTGCATATATCCTTGAAAAGATAGTTTAGATCAAAGGGCTTCGGTGAACCACTTTGCAAGACATTCAGGAACACAAAAGACTCACGGAGAATTTTCTCTTAACACTGCCTTTCACTGAATAGCTACCCAGGAGAGAAATATTCCTTCAAAAACAATATCCAGAGGCCAAAGCAAGAATTCCAACCCCAACCCATAGTGTCTATACTTTCAGAAAGAGATTATCTCAAAAAATATATTCCAAATGCAATTTCAGGGCTGATGCAATTTTTATCTCTTCATGCTTTTGTTATCTACCACTTTGCAATTACTGAGTGAGTGACTCTGTTTCATAGTAAAATGCCCCATAATATTTACTGAGCCTTTTTATATGCCAGGCATCTTGCTAACCACTCTACATGGCTTACATAATTTAAAGATTGCAATAAGTTTATAAAGGAAATATTATTCCTGACTTATTGATAAAAAAGCAAGACTTCCAATCAAGACTATATGGTAAATTCTGTCTGTGAGCTACATACACTCATACACACATGCACACACACACACATACGTGCATGTACAGATACACACATATTCAACCCACTCCCACATATCACTCTCATTAATATTTCAAAAAGAGTTAATAAAATTTGGACAAGGTGGAGTAAGATAGCCAAATAGAAGCTTCCACCAATCATCTTCCATGCAGGAACACCAAACTGACAACTATCTACACAAAGGAAAAGTATCTTCCTAAGACTCAAAAATCAGGTGAGCAATCACAGCGCCTGGTTTTAATCTCAGTTCACTGAAAGAGGCACTGAAGAGTGTAGAAAAGACAGTCTTAAATGCCGACACCACCCCTCCCCCATTCCCCAGCAGCAGCCATATGAGGCAGAGACTCTGCACTTGGGGGAGAGAGAGTATAGTGATTGTGAGACTTTGCATTAAAACTCAGTGCTGTCAACACTGAGAAATACTCAGCTGACGTCCATGGAGGGAGCATTTGGACCAGCCATAGCCAGAGGGGAATCCTACATTATAGCAGTTGGAACTTGAGTTTCAGTTAGACTTGCCAACATGCTAAAGTGCTCTGGGGTCCTAAATAATCTTGAAAGGTTGTCTAGGCCATAAGGACTGCAATTCCTAGGCAAGTCTTTGTGCTGTGCTGGGCTCAGAGCCGGTAGACTTAGGAGATATGTGACCTGTGAGATACCAGTTTGGGAGGCTAAGGGAGTGCTTGCAACACCCCTCCCCTAATCCCAGGCAGTGAAACTGACAGCTCCAAAACAGACCCCTTCCTTGTAATTAAGGAGAGGAGAGGAAAGAGTAAAGAGAACTTTGTCTTGCAACTTGGATACTAGCTCAGCCACAATAGGATAGGGCACCAGGGAGAGTCATGAGGCCCCCATCCCAGGCCCTCACTCCCAGATGTCATGTCTACACGCAACCTAGGCCAAAAAGGAACCCACTTCCTTGAAGGGAAGAACCCAGTCCTGGCAGTATTCACTACCTGCTGAGTGAAGAGTCCTTGGGCCCTAAATAATAAGCAGTGGTAACTGGGTAGAACATGCCATGGGCCTTGGGTGAGACTCTGAGACATGCTGACTTCAGGTGTGACCCAGCATATTCATAGCTATGGTGGCTGTGAAGAGAGACTCCTTCTGCTTCAGAAAGCAAAGGGAAGAGTAAGTGGGACTTTGTCTTGTAGCTTATGCACAAGCTCAGCCACTGTGGGAAAGAACACCTAGGGGGATCTTGGGGTCTCTGATTCTAGCCTTGGCTCTTGGATGGCATCTCTGGACCTATCCTGGGCCAGAGGGGAGCCCATTGCCCTGTAGCATCAGTCCCAGGCCTAGCAGCATTCACCACAAGCTGACTGAAGAGTGCTTGGGCCTTAAGTGAACATCGGCAACATCCTAGCAGTACTCCCATGGGCCTGTGGTGGTGGTGGTGGACACAGGGAGAGACTTCTCTGCCTGGGGAAAGGGGAGGGAAGAATGGAAGGACTTTGTCTTGTGATTTTAGCCCCAGCTTAGCCACAGTAGAATAGAGTACCAGGTAAATTTCTAAGATTTGTTACTCTAGGCCTTGGCTCCTGGATATATCTCCGGACCCATCTGGGGCCCAAAGGAACTTGCTGTCATGAAGGCAAGGACACAAGACTGGCTGGCTTCACCACTTGCTGATTGTTGAGCCTTGGGACCTTGAGCAAATATAGATGGTAGCCAGGTAGTGGTTACAGTGGTCCTTGGACAAGACCCCATGCTGTGCTGGCTTCAGGTCTGACCCAGCACCGTCCCAGTGATGGTGGCCACAGGGGTGCTTTTGGTGCCCCTCTTCCAGCTCCAGGTAGCTCAGCACATAGAGAGATTCCATTTGATTGGGAGAAAGTAAATGAAGAGAAGAAGAATCTCTGCTGTCTAGGCCACAGGATAATAAAAAGACAGGTAATCAAAAGAATTCTTCCAGATCAAATTGAAGACTACCAAGTCAGTACCTCTACGAGTGCAAGAATTACAGTGTTACTGGGCTTGGGGTGCCTTCTAATTCAGATATAGCTGCAGTGACCAAAAACTTAGATCACAACATCCAAGTCCCTTCAAATATCTAGAAAGCCTGCTGAAGAATGATGGGTATAAACAAGCCCATACTGAGAATACTACAATAAATACCTAACTCTTCAATGCCCGGACACCAATGAACATCAGAAGCATCAACACCATCCAGGAAAACATAACCTCACCAAATGAACTAAATAAGACACCAGGGACCAATCTCAGAGAGACAGAGATATGTGAACTTTCAGAGAGAGAATTCAAAATAACTGTTTTGAGGAAACTCAAATGAATTCAAGATAGCACAAAGAAGGAATTCAGAATCCTATCAGATAAATTTAACAAAGAAATTGAAATAATTAAAAAGAATCAGGCAGAAATTCTGGAGGTGAAAAATGCAATTGGCATACTGAAGAATACATCAGCCTCTAAGCAATTGATCAAGCAGAAGAAAAAATTAGTAAGCTTAAACACAGGCTATTTGGAAATACAGGCTATTTGGAAATATGGTCAAAAAGAATAAAAAAGAATGAAGCACACCTAAAAGATCCATAAAACAGCCTCAAAATGGAAAATATGCGAGTTATTGACCTTAAGAAGGAGGTAAAGAGAGAGACTGGGTAGAAAGTCACAGATGAGTTAAAAGAAAAAAGACAGAAATATATATGTATATGTGTGTGTGTATATATATATATATATGTACATATATACACACTATATAAACAGTAGTCAAAAGAAAAATAGCATGACCCAATTAATATTAAACAAAAGAGACTTCAAAATAAAGAATATTTGCTAAGATAAAGAGGGGCATTTCATAATGATAAAATGGCTAATTTATCAAGAAAACAGCAATTCTTAATGTTAACCTAACAACAGAGTCAAAGTAAATGAAACAAAATTTAACAGAATTAAAGAGAAAAAATAATTAATTAATAATTATTGTTGGAAACTTTAATACTCTTCTATCAATGATCGATAAAACAATTAGATCAATCAATATAAATTTGAAGAAGAATTTGAACATTATCAACAAATTTGTCCTAATGAAATTACAATGCACCACACCCAGCAGCTGAGGATATACAAGCTTTTCAAGTGCACATAGAATATTCACCAAGCTAGATCATATGATGAGGCATATAAAATAAGCCTTAAAAATTTGCAGTGTTTTTTGCACACAAAACATATTCTTTGACCAGAAAACAGTTTAATTAGAACTCAAAATCAATAATATATCTTGATTATCCCCCAAAATATTTGAAAATTAAGCATACACTTCTTAATAATCCAGTGTCGATGAGGAAATCACAAATACACATTAGAAAGTATTTTAACTTAATCATAATAAAAACACAACATGTCAAAATGTATGACATGCCATCTAATGAGGTTCTAAGAGAGAAATTTAGGGCTTTAAATGTTTACTTAAAAAAACAAGAAAAGTGTAAAATCAAAGATCTAAGCTTTCACTTTGAGAAGCTAGAGAAAGAATAACAAAGTAACTCAAGATAAATAGAAGAAATAAAATGATAATGATAAGAAAATAATAAATATAAAAAGCAAATAACATTCAACTTTTCAAAACAAAAGAATAGACAATCTATATTACATTGCATCCATTAGAGAAATTAAATCAATAATTTAAAACCTTCCTAAAAAGGAAGCTTCTGCCAAGATGGCATCAATGGTGAAGTCTATCAAACAATAAAGCAAAAAAAAACCAATATCACCAACGCACTTTCAGAAAATGAAGAGCAAGGAACACTTTTACTCATTTTGAAACTAATACCCTAAAGTTAAATCTTGGCAATGACATTACAGGGAAAGAACATAACAGTCCAATATCCCTCATTAATATAAATGTAAAAGTACTTAATAAAGAAGTATCAATTCATTCCAAAAGACAATCAAGAAATGGCAGAATTAACTCCAATAATGCAAGAGAATGACTATATAATTATTGCAATAATTGCAATAAAAGGTTTAGCCAAAAGCCAGTACTGCTTCATGATTTTAAAGACCTCTCAGAAAACTAGAAATAAAATAAAATATCCTTTTATTTATTTAATGGAGCACTTCTACAAAAAATCTACAGTAAATACTATACTTAGTAGTAAAATATTGAACAATTTGTCACTGAGGTCACACAAAAAACGTAAGTATATCTGCTCTCAGAACTTCTCTTCAACATTGTAATGAGATTCTACCTAATGCAAGAAGACATTTTAAATAAAAGGTATGAATATGGGGAAAGAAAAAGTAAAACTGTACTTATTTACAAGTGAAATACATGTATACCTAGGAAATCCAAAGGATTTCACCCAAACAAACTAATAGATCTAATATCTGAATTCAGCCAAGTCTTAGGATACAAGGTCAATATACAAAATCAATTGTATTTGTTTATACTAGCAACAAGCACTAGAGATTGACATTTTTAAAAAATCAATACATTTTGTTAGGAGTACCATAAAAAAAATCCAAAACACCAGCAGTGCATTTAACAAAGGATATAAAAGACCTCTATTTAGACAACTTCAGAACATTGCTGAGAGAAACTGTGGAAAACCTAAAGAAATGAGATATACCATAGCAATGGGTTAAAAGCATCAATATTATAAAAATGGCATTTGTCCCCATATTAAGCTATGGACTCAATACAATTCCAGTCAAAATCCCAACAGGTTTTTTATAGAAATTGGCAAGCAGATACTAAACTTTATATAAAAATGCAAACAACCTAGAATGGCCAAAGCAATCTTAAGAAAGAAGAACAAAGTTGAAGAAAAAACATTGCCTGATTCTAATGATTACTATAAAGCTATAAAACCAGAGTAATTAAGATGGTGTCATATTGACATAAGTATAGAAGAAAAATGGAACAATAGAACAAAGTAGAATCCAGAAATAGGTGGGCTAGATAATAATTTTTTAGGTAGAATTCATGGAACACTAAACATAAAGAAAAATTATAAATCATGCATTATAAATATTAAAATTTTCTTATCAAAAGACATTTAAGAAAAAAAGACAAGCCAAATTGAAAAAAAATTACCAAGATTTCACAAATCAATGATAAAAAAGACTGACAACCCAATTAAAAATGGGAAAAAGGATTTAGACAGATACTTCAAAAATTGTGTATACAAAGAAAAGAAGATATACAAAGGAAAATATGTTTAATCATTGGCATGGATGAAATATAAATTAAAGCCAATTAGACATCACTACACACCCACTAGAATAGTTACCACTAAAAAGACTGACTCTACCAAGAGAATGAGGAGCAACTGGAACTCTCATATACCGTGGGTGGGGGTATAAAATGGTAGAACCAATTTAGAAAACTGTTTAGCAGGGTTTTTGTTTTTGTTTTGTTTTTGAGACAGAGTCTCGCTGTATCACCAGGCTGGAGTGCAGTGGCACGATCTTGGCTCCCTGAAACCTCCGCCTCCTGGGTTCAAGTGATTCCGCTGCCTCAGCCTCCCGAGTAGCTGAGACTACAGGCACACGCCACTGAGCCCGGCTAATTTTTGTATTTTTAGTAGAGACAGGGTTTCACCATGTTGGCCAGGATGGTCTCCATCTCTTGACCTTGTGATCCGTCCACCTTGGCCTCCCAAAGTGCTGGGACTGCAGGCATGAGCCACTGCACCCGACCGCAGGTTTTTAAAATAAAATTATACATACACCTATGTCTAGCAATTCCAGTCCTCAGTATGAAAAAATTGAAAACTTAGGCCCATAAAAAATAAGCATGAAAGTGTTGATTGCAGCTTTACTTATAATAGAGAAAAAAAAATGTAGAGGAAATAGATGTCTGTCAATAGGAGAATGTGTAGTGACCTGAAATCCAAGTGAAGAAAATATTTCAAGGAAGAAGCAGTAATCAGCTGTATCAATTGCTGATATTTCAAGTTATATAAGAACTGAATTGACCACTGAATTTAGGTAAGTCATAGGAATCTAAATAATATTAAATAACTTAAAACAAAATACAATCTTTAAAGGTTTTATTTAATGTCAACTACTTCAACTGGGAAAAATTGCATCACAATCTATTTTTCACTTTTCTGCCTTGTATTATAACTTCACTGCAATACACATTTGTGATAAAGAGTATAATGTTCTTCCTAAAATTAGCTAATATACTCTTAGCATTTCCGTAATAATAAATTCATTTCCCTAATTATTATAGTATTTTCATATCCTTAATATTCAGTGTCTGTACAAATAAATTGGCAGGTTTCACAATTATCAGTTTTTCAGTATGTCCCTCTAACAGTAATAAATTTACACTATACTCCCAAGTGACTCATGGGGATTTCAACATATAAAGCATATGATGAGATGTTTTCATTTCATTACAGATGTATGCTTACTTATATTTCAAAGTGAAATTTTTAGGTAATATAAATTCAAATAAAATTGTTGTTTATTTACCCATATGGTTATGATGATAAGACGGTAACTTTCATGAACACAAAACATGCCAGAAATGACTATAAAATGGACATTTAGCTATCTGGACTTTGTAAGATCAAGTGGGCAGAGCAGATTCAGGCTGAATACTGACGTAAATGTGAAATTTCGTATATTTTACTAGTTCAAAACCTAAAAAAACAAGAAATTGCAAATAACTTATAGGTTAAAGAAGAAATCACACTGAAAAGAACAAAAAAATTAAAGAATTTGAATTTCAAAGAGGATAAGTAGTTTACACAAAGTCATATAGCTAATCAATAACCAATTCATACTCAATATATAATTTTTTTTTCTTTTTTTTCTGGGTATCTTTTTTTAATTTTTTTTAATTTTTTAATTTTTTTTTATTATTATACTTTAAGTTTTAGGGTACATGTGCACATTGTGCAGGTTAGTTACATACGTATACATGTGCCTCAATATGTAATTTTAAGTTTTTAATCATTATAAAACAATGCCTCTGTGATCCTGAAAGATGTCTTGGCCTACATCTTTAGGCCACTCAACACCATCTGAAGCCAGTCAGAATTTATCTTAATCTATTAATAAATTTTCCAAAACAATTTGTATAGAAGCTGAGGAATCACTCACATCTCCCACTAGAATGTATTATCCATGAGGGTTGGGACCTGGCTAGCCATGTGTATTCACCTCCACATTCTCAGTGTCTAGAACATTTGGTACATATATTGCTTTCTTGATAAATATGTATTGAATGAGAGAATAAAAGAATAATTAAAATTTGGAGATTTTATCTGTTGTTTGATTTTTGTATCCCAAACTCTAGCCACATAAACAATTATATCTCAAATCACAATTATCTAAGTGTTTAATAGAGATAAGAGCAGCACAAAGTGGCATTACAACAGAAGAGAAATCTATCAATATGGAACAATAACATAAGAGGTGTAAAAAAGTAAAAACCTGTATGGAGTATTCTGGGGAGAGTCAGGTATTGAATATATGCTTATGTTTTAAAGGCACTGTTACGGGTTGAATTGTGTTCTCCTCTAAATGTATATGTTGAAGTCCTAACCACAGTACCTCAGAATATGACCTTATTTGGAAATAGGGTTGCTGCAAACATCATTAATTAACAGGGTTCATACTAGGGTAGGATGGTCCCCTAATCTAATATGACTGGTGTTCTTATAAGAAAGGGAAATTTTAGACACAGACACACATACAGCGGGAGTGATGTGAAAATGAAGGCAGAGATTAGGGTGATACTTCTACAAGTCAATGAATCCCAAAGATTGTCAGTAAACCACCAGGAGCTGGGAAAGGCATGGAACAGATCCTTTCCTGAAAGCCCTCAGAAGAAACCAAACCTATCCATACCTTGATCTCAGACTTCTAGCCTCCAGAACTGCAAATCATAAATTTCTGTTGCTTAAACCATCCAATTTGTGGTACTTATTACAGCAGTCCTGGCAAGCTAATATTGGCACCATACAGATATCAATTACACCCATTGGGCTCTTAAACCGTTGCTACTTGATCATCTTTCTATAGCGGGTGGTTTCACATCTATAGAAGATATGAAATGTCATAATAAAAAACTTGAGCTAAAGCATCAATGAATGGTTAAACTGGATGACCTTTAAATACCTCCAACTTTGAATGTTTATAGCTCTATGGTTCTAAGATTATTTCTCTCTCTGGGGTCATTATTCAGAAAAGAAAAATGGAGTATCAGTTCCAACAAAATTTCACTAAGCACTTAAAATACCACCCATCAAGTATTGTCCTCTTTTGAATGGTTTTGAAAGCATTTGAAAGTGGAAAGTTGCAATTCTTGCCTTCAGTACTCAAGAAATATGAATATAAGGATAAATAACGAAGTAGATAACCTTATAATGTTACTTCTGGTTTTGTCCCATGTGTTTGGGTTGGGTGCATTTTCAAGGAATCTATTAAGCGCCCTTTCCTCCCACACTTCTCAAGGGTCTGATTCCTGCTCTCAGCATCCTCAGTTCTCAATACACCCCTGAATCCAGAGGATAAGAGGGTTGATAAGAAAAACCCCGGAGCCAAGTTGTACTACATGGAATGTTACAGAGCAGCCCTCCACTGGGATTAACTATATTTTAATCTTTGTCAATATTTGTTACAATAAAAAGGATGCTCTCTGAAACTCAGTTTAACACTTTATGACAACTTATCTTACACATCTTTACCAACCACAAGTCTTTGAGTTCTTTGAGGACAAGAACCATCACTTTACCTTATTCCCTAGCACACTGTGTGCCTGGTACTTTGCCTGGGAATGGAGGCATAAACATAACACATATTTACCTCCTAACATGTAAATTAATATTAATAGCACATCACAAATTTGCATAAAGCATTAAGACAATGTGTCACTAATGCATAAAGATTCATCAGGCTCAGGGATGCTACTTTGTGCTTCGCCCTGAAAATCAGCCTAACATCTGAATTTGATTTAAGAGACCCTTCTTCAAATCTACTACATTTCTCTGTGCCTAACTGTATCAAAGCATATTTACTACGTTTTCTTGAAATTATCTCTTTATGGCTCCTTTTTCATTTGATTATGTACTTCTGAAAGGCAAGGATCATTTTCTTTTAATTTTTGTATCACCCAGCATGTATATCACAAGTCCTGAAACTGTATAGGTGGTCAAAACTACTTGCTTAACATATGCTTATTGTTTCTCAAAAGGAGAAAGAGAATACATTTTTATATATAAAATACCTGCAGAATATCCAGATGATGATGCTACGTAGACATTTGAAACATAGAATAAAAGATCATAATGGACTCAGAAGTCATAGAATTTGAAAAAGATGACCTAAGTATGCTCCCTACTGTTCCTTTCAGAACCTACCTTACATAGCACCTATGAAATTCCTTCCTTACTGACTTCCCCTTGATTTGTTGGTTGGTTGTTCAATTTCCACCTCCTCTGTATATCGTGCTGGGTTATATGCTTCTATATTTATTTTACAATAGTTAGATCACATTATATAAACTTCTTTGCATTTACTTTCCCTATGTAACAAAATCCCCCCATTCAGTTGTTTCCCTATGTAACCTATTAACGATTACATAATATTCCATAGTATGTGTATTAATTAGGGTAAATAACTAAACTGCTACTAAAGAGAGATCTCAACATTGCAATGACCAAAAACATGTTTATTTTTCTTTCATCTAATAGTTCCAGCCAGTTTTTTTCCCACCCACAGGTACCTGGTTTCATACAGTTGTTCAGGGTCCCAGGCTGATGGCAGTTCTAGCATCCTCAGCATATAGCTTCCAAAGTTGCTCTGGGCATTCCCATTCCCACCCTGAACTGAAGAAATAGCATAAAGGAGCACATGCAGGAGGTCTATGGTCAGTCCTGGGACTGACACACATCACTTCCATTCACTTTCCATTGGCAAGGATTGATTCATAAGGCCACACATAGATGCAAGGGGACCTTGGAAGATCAGCCAGGCAGTCACATTCCAGCTATGACTTGATTACTATGGAAGAAGAAGAGAATCGATTTTGGTGGACAGCTAGCAATTTTCACCCTAGTGTGAATTTACCAAAATTTGTTCAAATTTCTTCCAAATGATGGGCCTTTATTTCTTATTTATCCTTACTTACCAGTGTTTTTATTTATATGAATTTCAGGAAATGAAAGTAAGATTCAATAAATATGGTCACATTGCTTTCTCAACTTTCCTTATAAATTTTAACATTTAATCTTGGGGTTAACCTGCTCTTTAAAAATAGTATAATAAATATTGCATGCTGATCTTTCATTTAACAGTTTTAAAATAGGCCCACAACCTAGGCATCAACAAGTATCCTTTTGTCAAAAAGTCCAAAATCCCCTGCCTGCTAAGGCCCCACTATACCAAATAACACATTGTAGAAGAGCTAATTCATCTGGAGAGGAAAGTGCTCATCTAGTAAATAAAACACAGGGCCCCTAGTTCAAGTAGAGTGTGATTTGAGATTGATATGCTAGGCATTTGATGGGCTTAATTTGTTCCCCAGTGATACGTAATCAGCATTACAAAACCTCTCACGCATCCCTGGGATGAATTTGGATAATCTTCAAATCAGCAGTCAGAAAAACTCTTAAGCAGAGTATATCTGTAAAACTGAATAATTATGTCTACCGTTCTTCAGAAAGCTCAGAAAAGTTTGCAAACAATAATTAAGCCATAGAACATTTATAAGACATGGGCAAAATATTATTTTCTTTTTCTACACAAAGAGCAGGATGAGAAGAGTTAAATGATTAAGTGCAAGAGCTAGATAAAGATAGAATTCCTGAAGTGCTGATATCAGGGTAATAATTTAGCCACTAGACTCCTCTTCTCTTCTTGTTATTCAAAAGGTAGATCTCCTCAGGTCCTGGTTTCACAAATGCGAGCGGCATAAAGAATCTTACACCGGGGCTAGTCAGCAGATAAATAGGATACTTTCACTTTGCTGAGCTACCAGAATTTACACTTCAAAGGCCTAGGCTGTATCACACAAAGGGAGTTGAAAAAATGAACCAAATCTTCCTTTTAGTAAAACTTCTTTAAAAAACTTCTTTTGAAAATATGACAAAATTTGTCAAATTTTACACAACATTAAAAATTAGATTTGGAATAATTTCACTAAAGTACGAAAATCATTATTGTTGCTTTGTCAAGTTTATAAAAGGGGTGATTTCCGATAGCATGGCAGAATTCAAATGTAAAGATTAATTTCTTAAAATGTATATGACTAGTGGGAGAATAATTTCCTTGAGTTATTTTAGTTGTGCCATACTTATTATAAAAATTATCATATATGATTAATGCATTATATTAAGCATAGTAAAAATAAGTATAACAATCATATAGATGGCTATGTTTTATTTCCATATTTTACAAAATACATAAACATTGAAAAACTATTTGGTTTTCAGCATTTTAGTATTAAGTTCTTTTATCTTCAATGTATATTTTTGGGGCTGATGAAAGAAATCCTTTTTAAAATCCATTAAAGATATTTAAAATCTTTAATTTAATATTAAATTCCTATATATTAATTTAATGTATATGTTAAATATTCAATATATTAAATATTAAATGTATAATAGAATATATATAATATAAATTAAATATTTTATAAAATATATATTTAATATATTTAATATATATTACATACCATATAAAACATATTTACTATATATACATAATATAATATATATTATATTAACTATATATTTAATATATATTATATCAATATTAATATAATATATATTTAATATAATTTATATATTACATTATAGTATATATTTATTATATTATATAATATATTATAATATATAATATAAAATAAATATATTACATAAATTATAATATATATAATATGTACAATAAATATAATGTGTATTATATATAATATATAATACATATTATATTATGCTATTTTGTATATATAATAAATATTATATTATATTATAATATATATGTTATATTTTATTATATAATATATGTTATATTTATAATATATATTATATTACATTTATAATGTATAATATGTTATATTATATTTATAATATATATCATATTATATTTATAATATATATTATATTTATAATATATATCATATATTTATAATATATGTTATATTTATAATATATATTATATTATGTTTATAATATATACTATATTATCATATATATTATATTATATTGTACTATAATATATTTATTAAGTAATATATATTAAATTATATTTGTAACATAACATATAATATTATATTTATAACTATATAATATATTTATAAAAATATATAATATTATATTTATAACAATATATAATATTATGTTTATACATTAATATATAATATTATATTTATAACAATATATCATATCATATTTATAACAATATATAATATTGTTTATACATTAATATATAATATTATATTTATATTATAATATATAATATTATATTTATAATATACTATATTATCTTATATTTCTAATATAATATATTATATTATATTTATGCTATAATATACATTATAATATATCATATTATAATATATATTATAATATAATATATATAATATAATAATATATAATATAATATATATAATATAATTAATATTATAATATAATATATATTATAATATAATATATATTATAATATATGTTATAATATAATATATATTGTATTATAATATTAATTATATTATAATATAATATATCTATAATAATATAATGTAATACATATTATAATATATATATTATAATATGATGTAATATATATTATAATCTAATATAATATATATTATATTTATAATGTAATATATACTATATTTATAACGTAATATATATTATATTTATAATATAGTATATATTATATTATATATAACATATATTATATTTTGTATATTATATAATATTATATTTAATAAAATATATTATATTATATATTATATGTAATATATTATATATAATATATAATTATATATTATATATAATATATTATATATAATATAATAATATGTTATATATAATATGATATATAATATATATCATATTATATAATATATAATATATATTATATTATATAATATATTATGTATTATATATATTATATGTTATATAATATTATATATGAATTATAAAATATATATTATTATAAAATATATAATATATAATAAATTATATAGTATATATACTATATATTATATGTAATATATTATAAATTACATATAATATCTATTGCATATAATTTAATATTATATATAACATATATTACATATAATATAATATTAAATGTAAAATATATTACCAATTATATATTATATTTAACATAATATGTATTCAATATAATGTATTAAAATTAATATAATATATATTTAATATGATATATTATGATTATTATATCTGTTCAATATAATATATAATGTAATATATATTGAACATAATATATACTTAATATATTATATTGAACATAATATATATTTAATATATTATACTGAATATAATATATATTTAATATATTATACTGAATATCATATATATTTAATATATTATACTGAATATCATATATATTTAATATATTATACTGAATATAATATATATTTAATATATTATACTGAATATAATATATACTTAATATATTATATTTCATATAATATATACTTAATATATTATATTTCATATAATATATACTTAATATATTATATTTCATATAATATATATTCAATATATTATATTTAATATATTATATTGAATATATATATTTATTATATGTAATATTATATATATTTAATATATTATATGTAATATTATATATATTTAATATATTATATGTAATATATATTTAATATATTATATGTAATATATATTTAATATATTATATTTAATATATATTTAATATATTATATTTAATATATATTTAATATATTATATTTAATATTATATATTTAATATATATTATATTTAATAAAATCGATATTTAATATAATATATATTTAATGTATTGTCTTTAATATATTATGTATTTAATATCATATATATTTAATATATTATATATTTAATATATTATATTTAACATATATTTAATATAAAGTATTTAATATATTATATATTTAATATAATGTATATTTAATATATTATATATTTAATATAATATATATTTAATATATTATATTTAATATATTATGTATTTAATATTATATATATTTAATATATATTATGTTTAATATCCTATATATATTTAATATATATATTTAATATCTTATATATATTTAATATATATCATATTTAATATCTTATATATATTTAATATATATCGTATTTAATATCTTAGATATATTTAATATATTATATATATTTAATATATATTATATTTAATTATATATAATATAATTTGATATAATACATAATATATAATATAATATCTTATTTATATATTAATATAATATGATAATATATGTTATATATTATATAATAAAACATTATTCATATATTTATATATGAATATATTATTTATATTGTATTATGAATAATATAGTATAATAATAACATATATCATATAATACATCATATAATATATTATTTATATTATATGATATATAATATAATATAACAATAATGTTTATTGTTATTATATTTATATATTATATTTATATATTGTATATTATATTGCATATATTTATATATAGTATATTATATATATTATTAATATAAATTGTATATTATATATATATTATTTATATATTGTATATTATATTGTATATATTGTGTATATTGTAATATATTGTATTATATGTATATCTATTTATATATTGTATTATATTATATTTATATATTGTATATTATATTTAATATGATATATCATATTTTATTTAATATAACCTATCATATATATAATATGATATATTATATTATATTAAATTTAATATATCATATATATTAATTAAATATAACATATTAGAGTAAATATATATTAATTGAATATAATATAGTATATTAAATGTAATATATTGTATTAAATATATATTAATGATAATATATTGCACTAAATATATATTAATGAAATAAAGTATATTACATTAAATATACATTAAATAAATATAATATATTATATCAAATATATATTACATATAATATAATATATTATATTAAATATATATTATATAAAATATAATATATAGTAAATATACATAATACTAAATGTATATTTAATATATATTATATTATATATTTAATATAAAATTATATTAAATAACATATATTTAATATAAAATTATATTATATAGCATATATTTAATATAAAATTATATTAAATAACATATATTTAATATAAAATTATATTAAATAGCATATATTTAATATAAAATTATACTAAATAGCATATATTTAATGTAAAATTATATTAAATATAATATATTATATTTTTATTATATATTTATATTGTATAAAGATAATATATATAACATATATATTATATATTATATATTATATTATTATATATTAATATTTTATATAATGAATTAATATATTAGTATATATTAATATATTATATATTATATTGTTATATATAATATATATTATATATTAAATATAAAAATAATATATCTTATAATATTACATATTATATATTATATGTAATATTATTGTATATGATATATTATATATAATATTATTGTATATGATATATAATATATCATATATCATATATTATATCATATAATATATCATATATCATATATTATATCATATAATATATCATATATCATATATTATATCATATAATATATCATATATTATATCATATATTATATAATATATCATATGTTATATCATATATTATATAATATATCATATATTACATTGTTATATAACGTATCATATATTACATTGTTATATAACGTATCATATATTACATTGTTATATAACGTATCATATATTACATTGTTATATGACGTATCATATATTACATTGTTATATGACGTATCATATATTACATTGTTATATGACGTATCATATATTATATTGTTATATATTATATATTATATTGTTATATATTATAAATTATATATAATATATGTTATATATAATATTATATATATTATATGTTATATATAATATTATATATATTATATGTTATATATAATATATATATTATATGTTATATATTATATGGATTATTATTATATATTTAATGAAATATATATAATATATATTATATTAAATATAGTATATTACATTTAATATACTATATGTAATATATATAATATTTTATATCTATAATTAATATACAGTTATATATACAATATTATATATGTGATATAATATGTATTATATATAATACATATACAATATATTATATTATATATTATATAATATATATTAATTGTATGTATATTATATATAATATAATATATAATTTATGTGTTATATTATATATTAGATATATTTTTTTAATTTTTATTTTTATTATTATACTTAAAGTTTTAGGGTACATGTGCTCAATGAGCATGTTAGTTACATATGTATACATTTGACATGCTGGTGCGCTGCACCAACTAACTTGTCATCTAGCATTAGGTATGTCTCCCAATGCTATCCCTCCCCCTCCCCCCACCCCACAACAGTCCCCAGAATGTCATGTTCCCCTTCCTGTGTCCATGTGTTCTCATTGTTCAGTTCCCACCTATGAGTGAGAATCTGTGGTGTTTGGTTTTTTGTTCTTGCGATAGTTTACTGAGAATGATGATTTCCAATTTCACCCATGTCCCTACAAAGGACATGAACTCATCATTTTATGGCTGCATAGTATTCCATGGTGTATATGTGCCACATTTTCTTAATCCAGTCTATCATTGTTGGACATTTCGGTTGGTTCCAAGTCTTTGCTATTGTGAATAGTGCCACAATAAGCATACGTGTGCATGTGTCTTTATAGCAGCATGATTTATAGTCTTTTGGGTATATACCCAGTAATGGGATGTCTGGGTCAAATGGTATTTCTTGTTCTAGATCCCTGAGGAGTCTCCACACTGACTTCCACAATGGTTGAACTAGTTTACAGTCCCACCAACTGTGTAAAAGTGTTCCTGTTTCTCCACATCCTCTCCAGCACCTGTTGTTGCCTGACTTTTTAATGATCACCATTCTAACTGGTGTGAGATGATATCTAATTGCGGTTTTGATTTGCATTTCTCTGATGGCCAGTGATGGTGAGGATTTTCTCATGTGTTTTTTGGCTGCATAAGTGTCTTTTTTTGAGAAGTGTCTGTTCATGTCCTTCGCCCACTCTTTGATGGGGTTGTTTGTTTTTTTCTTGTAAATTTGTTTGAGTTCATTGTAGATTCTGGATATTAGCCCTTTATCAGATGCGTAGGTTGTAAAAATTTTCTCCTGTTTTGTGGGTTGCCTGTTTACTCTAATGGTAGTTTCCTTTGCTGTTCAGAAGCTCTTTAGTTTAATTAGATCCCATTTGTCAATTTTGGCTTTTGTTGCCATTGCTTTTGGTGTTTTAGACATGAAATCCTTGCCCATGCCTATGTCCTGAATGGTAATGCCTAGGTTTTCTTCTAGGGTTTTTATGGTTTTAGGTCTAACGTTTAAGTCTTTAATCCATTTTGAATTGATTTTTGTATAAGGTGTAAGGAAGGGATCCAGTTTCAGCTTTCTACATATGGCTAGCCAGTTTTCCCAGCACCATTTATTAAATAGGGACTCCTTTCCCCATTGCTTGGTTTTCTCAGGTTTGTCAAAGATCAGATAGTTGTAGATATGCCGAGTTATTTCTGAGGGCTCTGTTCTGTTCCATTGATCTATATCTCTGTTTTGGTACCAGTACCATGCTGTTTTGGTTACTGTAGCCTTGTAGTATAGTTTGAAGTCAGGTAATGGGATGCCTCCAGCTTTGTTCTTTTGGCTTAGGATTGACTTGGCGATGCGGGCTCTTTTTTGGTTCCACATGAACTTTAAAGTAGTTTTTTCCAATCCTGTGAAGAAAGTCATTGGTAGCTTGATGGGGATGGCATTGAATCTATAAATTACCTTGGGCAGTATGGCCATTTTCATGATATTGATTCTTCCTACCCATGAGCATGGAATGTTCTTCCATTTGTTTGTACCCTCTTTTATTTCATTGAGCAGTGGTTTGTAGTTCTCCTTGAAGAGGTCCTTCGCGTCCCTTGTAAGGTGGATTCCTAGGTATTTTATTCTCTTTGAAGCAACTGTGAATGGGAGTTTACTCATGATTTGGCTCTCTGTTTGTCTGTTATTAGTGTATAAGAATGCTTGTGATTTTTGTACATTGATTTTGTATCCTGAGACTTTGCTGAAGTTGCTTATCAGCCTAAGGAGATTTTGGGCTGAGACAATGGGGTTTTCTAGATATACAATCATGTCGTCTGCAAACAGGGACAATTTGACTTCCTCTTTTCCTAACTGAATACCCTTTATTTCCTTCTCCTGCCTAATTGCCCTGGCCAGAACTTCCAACACTATGTTGAATAGGAGTGGTGAGAGAGGGCATCCCTGTCTCACGCCAGTTTTCCAAAGGAATGCTTCCAGTTTTTGCCCATTCGGTATGATATTGGCTGTAGGTTTGTCATAGATAGCTCTTATTATTTTGAGAAATGTCCCATCAATAACTAATTTATTGAGAGTTTTTAGCATGAAGGGTTGTTGAATTTTGTCAAAGGCCTTTTCTGCATCTATTGAGATAATCATGTGGTTTTTGTCTTTGGTTCTGTTTATATGCTGGATTACATTTATTGATTTGCATATATGGAACCAGCCTTGCATCCCAGGGATGAAGCCCACTTGATCATGGTGGATAAGCTTTTTGATTTGCTGCTGGATTTGGTTTGCCAGTATTTTATTGAGGATTTTTGCATCAATGTTCGTCAAGGATATTGGTCTAAAATTCTCTTTTTTGGTTGTGTCTCTGCCCGGCTTTGGTATCAGGATGATGCTGGCCTCATAAAATGAGTTAGGCAGGATTCCCTCTTTTTCTATTGATTGGAATAGTTTCAGAAGGAATGGTATCAGTTCCTTCTTGTACCTCTGGTAGAATTCAGCTGTGAATCCATCTGGTCCTGGAGTCTTTTTTGTTGGTAAGCTATTGATTATTGCCACAATTTCAGCTCCTGTTATTGGTCTATTCAGGGATTCAACTTCTTCCTGGTTTAGTCTTGGGAGAGTGTATGTGTCAAGGAATTTATCCATTTCTTCTAGAATTTCTAGTTTATTTGTGTAGAGGTGTTTGTAGTATTCTCTGATGGTAGTTTGTATTTCTGTGGGATCGGTGGTGATATCCCCTTTATCATTTTTTATTGCATCTATTTGATTCTTCTCTCTTTTTTCTTTATTAGTCTTGCTAGCGGTCTATCAATGTTGTTGATCCTTTCAAAAAACCAGCTCCTGGATTCATTAATTTTTTGAAGGGCTTTTTCTGTCTCTATTTCCTTCAGTTCTGCTCTGATTTTAGTTATTTCTTGCCTTCTGCTAGCTTTTGAATGTGTTTGCTCTTGCTTTTCTAGTTCTTTTAACTGTGATGTTAGGGTGTCAATTTTGGATCTTTCCTGCTTTCTCTTGTGGGCATTTAGTGCTATAAATTTCCCTCTACACACTGCTTTGAATGTGTCCCAGAGATTCTGGTATGTTGTGTCTTTGTTCTCATTGGTTTCAAAGAACATCTTTATTTCTGCCTTCATTTCGTTATGTACCCAATAGTCATTCAGGAGCAGATTGTTCAGTTTCCATGTAGTTGAGGTTTTGAGTGAGTTTCTTCATCCAGAGTTCTAGTTTGATTGCACTGTGGTCTGAGAGATAGTTATAATTTCTCTTCTTTTACATTTGCTGAGGAGAGCTTTACTTCCAACTATGTGGTCAATTTTGGAATAAGTGTGGTGTGGTGCTGAAAAAAAATGTATATTCTGTTGATTTGGGGTGGAGAGTTCTGTAGATGTCTATTAGGTGTGCTTGGTGCAGAGCTGAGTTCAATTCCTGGGTATCCTTGTTGACTTTCTGTCTCGTTGATCTGTCTAATGTTGACAATGGGGTGTTAAAGTCTCCCATTATTAATGTGTGGGAGTCTAAGTCTCTTTGTAGGTCACTCAGGACTTGCTTTATGAATCTGGGTGCTCCTGTATTAGGTGCATATATATTTAGGATAGTTAGCCCTTCTTGTTGAATTGATCCCTTTACCATTATGTAATGGCCTTCTTTGTCTCTTTTGATCTTTGTTGGTTTAAAGTCTGTTTTATCAGAGACTAGGATGGCAACCCCTGCCTTTTCTTGTTTTCCATTTGCTTGGTAGATCTTCCTCCATCCTTTTATTTTGAGCCTATGTGTGTCTCTGCATGTGAGATGGGTTTCCTGAATACAACACACTGATGGGTCTTGACTCTTTATCCAATTTGCCAGTCTGTGTCTTTTAATTGGAGCATTTAGTCCATTTACATTTAAAGTTAATATTGTTATGTGTGAATTTGAACCTGTCATTATGATGTTAGCTGGTTATTTTGCTCGTTAGTTGATGCAGTTTCTTCCTAGTCTTGATGGTCTTTACATTTTAGCATGATTTTGCAGCGGCTGGTACCGGTTGTTCCTTTCCATGTTTAGTGCTTCCTTCAAGAGCTCTTTTAGGGCAGGCCTGGTGGTGACAAAATCTCTCAGCATTTGCTTGTCTGTAAAGTATTTTATTTCTCCTTTACTTATGAAGCTTAGTTTGGCTGGATATGAAATTCTGGGTTGAAAATTCTTTCTTTAAGAATGTTGAATATCGGTCACCACTCTCTTCTGGCTTGTAGGGTTTCTGCCAAGAGATCCGCTGTTAGTCTGATGGGCTTCCCTTTGTGGGTAACCCGACCTTTCTCTCTGGCTGCCCTTAACATTTTTTCCTTCATTTCAACTTTGGTGAATCTGACAATTATGTGTCTTGGAGTTGCTCTTCTAGAGGAGTATCTTTGTGGTGTTCTCTGTATTTCCTGAATCTGAATGTTGGCCTGCCTTGCTAGATTGGGGAAGTTCTCCTGGATAATATCCTGCAGAGTGTTTTCCAACTTGGTTCCATTCTCCCCGTCCCTTTCAGGTACACCAATCAGACGTAGATTTGGTCTTTTCACATAGTCCCATATTTCTTGGAGGCTTTGTTCGTTTCTTTTTATTCTTTTTTTTCTAAACTTCCCTTCTCACTTCATTTCATTCATTTCATCTTCCATCGCTGATACCCTTTCTTCCAGTTGATTGCATCGGCTCCTGAGGCTTCTGCATTCTTCACGTAGTTCTCGAGCCTTGGCTTTCAGCTCCATCAGCTCCTTTAAGCACTTCTCTGTATTGATTATTCTAGTTATACATTCATCTAAATTTTTTTCAAAGTTTTTAACTTCTTTGCCTTTGGTTTGAATTTCCTCCTGTAGCTCGTAGTTTGATCGTCTGAAGGCTTCTTCTCTCAACTTGTCAAAGTCGTTCTCCATCCAGCTTTCTTCCATTGCTGGTGAGGAACTGCGATCCTTTGGAGAAGGAGAGGTGCTCTGCTTTTTAGAGTTTCCAGTTTTTCTGCTCTGTTTTTTCCCCATCTTTGTGGTTTTATCTACTTTTGTTTTTTGATGATGGTTATGTACAGATGGGTTTTCGGTGTGGATGTCCTTTCTGTTTGTTAGTTTTCCTTCTAACAGACAGGACCCTCAGCTGCAGGTCTGTTGGAGTTTGCTAGAGATCCACTCCAGACTCTGTTTGCCTGGGTATCAGCAGTGGTGTCTGCAGAACAGTGGTTTTTCGTGAACCACGAATGTTGCTGTCTGATCGTTCCTCTGGAAGTTTTGTCTCAGAGGAGTAACCGGCCATGTGATGTTTCAGTCTGCCCCTACTGGGGGGTGCCTCCCAGTTAGGCTGCTCAGGGTTCAGGGGTCAGGGACCCACTTGAGGAGGCAGTCTGCCCATTCTCAGATCTCCAGCTGCGTGCTGGGAGGAACACTGGTCTCTTCAAAGCTGTCAGACAGGGACATTTAAGTCCACAGAGGTTACTGCTGTCTTTTTGTTTGTCTGTGCCCTGCCCCCAGAGGTGGAGCCTACAAAGGCAGGCAGGCCTCCTTGAGCTGTGGTGGGCTCCACCCAGTTCGAGCTTCCTGGCTGCTTTGTTTACCTAAGCAAGCCTGGGCAATGGCGGACGCCCCTCCCCCAGCCTCACTGCTGCCTTGCAGTTTGATCTCACACTGCTGTGCTAGCAATCAGTGAGACTCCGTGGGCGTAGGACCCTCCGAGCCAGGTGCAGGATATAATCTCCTGGTGCGCAGTTTCTTACGCCCTTTGGAAAAGGGCAGTATTCGGGTGGGAGTGACCCGATTTTCCAGGTGCCATCTGTCACCCCTTTCTTTGACTAGGAAAGGGAACTCCCTGACCCCTTGTGCTTCCAAGTGAGGCAATGCCTCGCCCTGCTTCAGCTCACGCACGGTGCACTGCACCCACTGACCTGCGCCCACTGTTTAGCACTCCCTAGTGAGATGAACCCGGTACCTCAGATGGAAATGCAGAAATCACCCGTCTTCTGCGTCGCTCACGCTGGGAGCTGTAGACCGGAGCTGTTCCTATTTGGCCATCTTGGCTTCTATCCCTATTATATATATATTATTTATAATATAATATATATTTAATATATATTACTTAAAATATAATATATATAATATATATTATTTATATATAATTAGTAATATATAAATAATAATATAAATATATATAAATAATATAATATAATAAATATAATAATAAAATATATAAATAAATATAAATAATAATATATTATTTATAATATAATATATATTGAATATATATTATTTATAATATAATATATATTCAATATATATTATTTATAATAAATATGTATTCAATATATATTATTTATAATATATATTGAATACATATTTATTATAAATAATATATATTGAATATATATTATTTATAATATATATTGAATATATATTATTTATAATATATATTGAATATATATTATTTATAATATATATTGAATATATATTATTTATAATATATATATTGAATACATATTATTTATAATAAATATACATTGAATACATATTATTTATAATATAATATGTCTTCAACATATATTATTTATAATATATCTTCAACATATATTATTTATAATATAATATATCTTCAACATATATTATTTATAATATAATATAACTTCAATATATATTATTTATAATATATCTTCAATATATATTATTTATAATATATCTTCAATATATATTATTTATAATATAATATATCTTCAATATATATTATTTATAATATAATATATCTTCAATATATATTATTTATAATATAATATATCTTCAATATATATTATTTATAACGTAATATATCTTCAATATATATTATTTATAACATAATTATCTTCAATATATATTATTTATAACATAATATATCTTCAATATATATTATTTATAACATAATATATCTTCAATATATATTATTTATAACATAATGTATCTTCAATATATATTATTTATAACATAATGTATCTTCAATATATATTATTTATAACATAATATATCTTCAATATATATTATTTATAACATAATATATCTTCAATATATATTATTTATAACAATATATCTTCAATATATATTATTTATAACATAATATATCTTCAATATATATTATTTATAACATAATATATCTTCAATATATATTATTTATAACATAATATATCTTCAATATATATTATTTATAACATAATATATCTTCAATATATATTATTTATAACATAATATATCTTCAATATATATTATTTATAACATAATATATCTTCAATATATATTATTTATAACATAATATATCTTCAATATATATTATTTATAACATAATATATCTTCAATATATATTATTTATAATATAATATATCTTCAATATATATTATTTATAATATAATATATCTTCAATATATATTATTTATAATATAATATATCTTCAATATATAATTTATAATATAATATATCTTCAATATATATTATTTATAATATATCTTCAATATATATTATTTGTAATATATATTCAATATAGATTATATATAATATATATTTTGGAGGCAGAGCTTAAAACAGTTGTTCTGTGCTACCCAGTGAAATAATATTATATATAATATAATATATCCTGAATTATTTGCTTTTTTTCCATCTCCAATAATCTCATGCTAGTACAAATCACCACTCAGCTCACCTGAACAACCACAGGGCAATTGGTCTTCCTGTCTTCACTCTTGCTCTCTTATAGTAAATTTTCCCACTACCAAGATAAATCTGACCATACCACCACAAACTTAAAACTTCGACTTTTCCCCATTGCACTGAAAGTAAAATTTCCACTTCTTACCATGAGCTATAAAATTCTATATAATATTACCACTGTCCAATTCTGTAGCTTTATTTTTTACCTCTCTCTTCCATGCTCACTATTCTTCAGCCACACCAATCTTCTTTCAGCTCCTGAAGCACACGAAGTTATTTCTCACCTTTGAATATTTACACTTGCTTCTCCCTCTCTCTGGAACTCTGTCTCTGAATGGTGACCCCTTTAGTCATGTCAGATCTCAGTTAACATAGCACCTTCGCAAGGACACTTTCCAAGGCCCCTTTATCAAATATTGCCACTTCCTGGCTCACTCTATCACATTACCCCGTATTATCTTCACAGCACTGGAATTATTTTAGGGAATTTCGGTTTTTTGCTTTCCTGATCACTATTGGATTTCTCCAGAATAACATTATATCCATGACAACAGGAATCTTGCCTATCTAAACCATATCTTTATCTTAAGTGCCTAAAACATTCTGGAAGATACTAGTTGTGCAATAAATATTTGGTGATGAATTAACTTCAAGCTTACTAGCATTTCATCACATCTATAAAAGAGAATACTAGAAACAATCCAGTCTAAAGCACATGTGCAGCCATTTCCAATCTTCCTTTAAAATTTTCGCTTTTGGGTACAAATATTTAAGAAACAGAGAGCTGATTTATCTTACCCTACTAGAACCTTAGCCTGAGCTTCTATTGCATGATTTCTAGATACACCAAAACCTCGTGTTCTTCCTACTTCCACACTATATTGTATCTTCTACACCTTCAATGTATCTTCTACATATAAAATAAGGTCCAATTTCATCATAATCTGCTTCCCAAGCTTCCAAAATCACACCTCACTATGCTCATATCTTGTTGGTTTCCAAAATTTACATTTTGCTTATACTGTTCATTTGTTCATGACCTGCTCTTACCCAAACCTTAGTAACTTTTAAAGGCTAAGTTATTTCACAAACTCATAAGACTTTCAACCTGTTCCAGCCTCCACTGATCTCCTATTGCTTTGAACAACACTTGCAGTGGTGATGAAGAATAATATCCGTATCATTCCTTTGATACTAACTTATTTACTGCTGTGTTTTATGACTCAACTGTTTTATGCAACATTTTCTCATTCACTCATTCATTCGTTCATTTGTCATAAACTAGTGCTAGTCTTATGCTGGATGCTAGAGATATATAAATATCAATACTCTTAAAGAAGTCATTAATAACCCACTGGAAGTGAATAATGCATTGTGCTATGTTCATTTAATCTTCACAAAGACTCTGGGAGGTAGTTTGTTGCTATTTCCATTTTACAAATGAGAGCATGTGTTAAACAAAACTTGCCTAATGTCACTCAACTAATAAAAGATTCAAATATAAGGAGCAGGTTCTGAGTGACCACAAAGTCCATTTTTCACGCTGCCACTCAGCAAATGTTTTTCAAATATTAACATAACTTTTACATTATCTTAAAGAGATATATTAAAATGTTTTATATGTCAGTACAACAATACTGCAGAAGCAGACTCTCTTGCTGTAGAATAAAGTAAAATAATGACAACAATAAGAGCCATGCATTCCAATTAAAAATCAGAAAAGATATGCTAGTGTTCACTGGCAAGTGTTCACTAGCACTCTGAAGGAATTTGTTATTTTACATCTATTGACCGACCTGGTGTTCCACAAGACATAAGCCCTCCCTGGAATCTCCCTCCAGTCTGACTAAACAGCACTAGAGTTTAGGTTTCTAGAATACTAGCAGCTTGAATTGGAAACAGTCTCTCTGAATCTTCAAACTCTCCTGAATCAAAGAGTTTCCAGGGCCAGTAGATGGGTTAAGCAGAGAAAATGTCATGAGGCTAAAGGCTTTCTAAGTGTTCCTGCAGAAAGGCTTGGTATGAAATTTTCTCTTCCCTTGGCTGAAAGAGAGCCTGGGAACCAATATTTAGAGTAAGGATATTGAAACAGTGAATGTGTCCTTGATGGAATGAAGAAGAAGCTCAATAGACAGACGAATGGAGTGCTCTGAATCCTGAATGCCAGGAAAGTTTAATGAAACTGGATTGCAAAAAATGTTGCTCTTAGTGTCTTTTAGCAACCAATACACTTGCTGCTATCCCACAGCCCAAGTGAAGAGAGACCACTGCATTGTAACATCCACAGCAGCACCTCTACTTAAGATAGTCTGACGTTTTAACATCAGCAATGAAAGTTGGTAGTTACAGGAAAAAAATTTATTCAATGAACTAAGAGAAAATAACTCTCCATCTAGAATTCTATGATAAAGCAAAACTATTTTTCAAGAATGAAGAAAAATAAAAATATTTTCATATAAACAAAAACTGAATAAATTTATCAAAAGACCCTCACTAAAAGTATTCTCTAGGATGTTATTCAGGCAGAAAAAAAATAATTCTACATATGAAACCTGGAATACAACAAGAAATGAAGTGTAAAGAATTGATAAATATATGCGTAAATACAAACTGACATGATCATACAAAAAGAGCAACAATGTTTAATTCGTAAGGAGAAGAGGGAAAACAGAATGAACCTAAAGGATTTGACATACATATTGGACTAATTATGGCATATATATTGGGAGGGTAGTAATCTGAGTTAGTGTTCTAAATGTACTCAAGCTATGCTTGGGAAGGCGTGAAAGGTACTGGTTTAATTTCACAATTTGCTAACAGGCTAATAAATAAATATAGAAATAATAACTTCTTAACAGGCAGAGCAGAGAGTTGTAATGAGGAAAAAGACAGAAAAATAATTGGCTATCCAAAATAACAAAGGAAAAATAAAACAAAAAGAAAAAAATATTGAAGAGACGAGAGAGAAATAGCACAAAACAAGATTTTAGAAAAAATTCTAAATGCATCAGCAATATCAATACTTTTAACTCACTTCAATTAAAAGACAAAGATTACTTCATTTAAATAAACTTTAGCTATATATATATATTTTTTCTATTTAAGTGTCTTCTTTATTATAGCCTTAATAACAATCATGTTACCATATTCCGTTGAACATTGATTTTAAGGCAAAAGACCCAGAGGAGGTAGCTGCTTCTGCCTGCTTCCTACACCATCCCGCCCCTACCCCAGTGGTGTGCTGGTAAACATTTAACAACCAGATCTGGACGAAAAGAACAGGGGCCCTGATCTGCAGCATTAACCAATTCGCGTGGCATAAACACTCCGACCAACCAGATGTCTCTGAAGGCAGAGCTGAAAAGGGATGCACACAACCAGTTGTCGGAGACATACAGCCAGCTCTGGCATAGCACAGCTGCAACTCATGAAATGTCTAGAATAGTTCAAGTTGCATAACAGAAGATTTTTGTCTCTGCCTGTCTTCCCACTTCTACTCCCACATCCAGGTGCCAACTCTCTCCATTTATCTCAAAAGCAAATGCTCCAAAGGGGAGAATCTGATTCTATCACCATTCTTTTTTTATTTTTTAAATTATGCTATAAGTTCTAGGGTACATGTGCACAACATGCAGGTTTCTTACACAGGTATACATGTGCCATGTTGGTTTGCTGCACCCATCAACTCGTCATTTACATTAGGTATTTCTCCTAATGCTATCCCTCCCCCAGCCCCCTACCCCCCAACAGGCCCCAGTATGTGTTGTTCCCTGCCCTGTGTATACATGTTCTCATCGTTCAGTTCCCACCTGTGAATGAGAACATGTGCTGTTTGGTTTTCTGTCCTTGTGATAGTTTGCCGAGAATGATGGTTTCCAGCTTCATCCATGTCCCTACAAAGGACATGAACTCATCCTTTTTTATGACTGCACAGTATTCCATCGTGTATATGTTCCACATTTTCTTAATCCAGTCTATCATTGATGGACTTTTGGGTTGGTTCCAAGTCTTTGCTATTATGAATAGTGCTGCAATAAACATACATGTGCATGTGTCTTTAAAGTAGCATGGTTTATAATCCTTTGGGTATACACCCAGTCATGGGATGGCTGGGTCAAATGGTGTTTCTAGTTCTAGATCCTTGAGGAATTGCTACACTGTCTTCCAAAATGATTGAACTAATTTACACTCCCACCACCAGTGTAAAAGTGTTCCTATTTCTCCACATCCTCTCCAGCACCTGTTGTTTCCTGACTTTTTAATGATTGCCATTCTAACTAGCATGAGATGGTATCTTATTGTGGTTTTAATTTGCATTCCTCTGATGACCAGTGATGATGAGCATTTTTTCATGTGTCTGTTGGCTACATAAAAGTCTTCTTTTGAGAAGTGTCTGTTCATATCCTTTGCCCAATTTTTGATGGGGTTGCTTGATTTTTTTCTTGTAACTTTGTTTAAGTTCTTTGTAGATTCTGGATATTAGCCCTTTGTCAGATGGGTAGATTGCAAAAATTTTCTCCCATTCTGTAGGTTGCCTGTTCACTCTGATGGTAGTTACTTTTGCCATGCAGAAGCTCTTTAGTTTAATTAGATCCCATTTGTCAATTTTCACTTCTGTTGCCATTGCTTTTGATGTTTTAGTCATGAAGTCTTTGCCCATGCCTATGTCCTGAAAGGTACTCTCTCTGTTTTCTTCTAGGGTTTTTATGGTATTAGGTCTAACATTTAAGTCTTTAATCCATCTTGAATTAATTTTTGCATAAGGTGTAAGGAAGGGATCCAGATTCAGCTTTCTACATATGGCTAGCCAGTTTTCCCAGCACCATTTATTAAATAGGGAATCCTTTCCCCATTTCTTGTTTTTGTCAGGTTTGTCAAAGATCACATGGCTGTAGATGTGTGATGTTATTTCTGAGTCCTCTGTTCTGTTCCACTGGTCTATATATCTGTTTTGGTACCAGTACCATACGTTTTGGTTATCGTAGCCTTATAGTATAGTTTGAAGTCAGATAGCGTGATGCCTCCAGCTTTGTTCTTTTTGCTTAGGATTATCTTGGCAATGCTGGCTCTTTTTTGATTCCATATGAACGTTAAAGTAGTTTTTTCCAATTCTGTGAAGAAAGTCATTGGTAGCTTGATGGGGATGGCATTGAATCTATAAATTACCTTGGGCAGTATGGCCATTTTCACAATTTTGATTATTCCTATCCATGAGCATGGAATATTCTTCCATTTGTTTGTGTCCTCTTTTATTTCATTGAGCTGTGTTTGTAGTTCTCCTTGAAGAGGTCCTTCACATCCCTTGTAACGTGGATTCCTAGGAATTTTATTCTCTTTGTAGCAATTGTGAATGGGAGTTCACCCATGATTTGGCTCTCTGTTTGTCTGTTATTGGTGTACAGGAATGCTGTGATTTTTGCACACTGATTTTGTATCTGAGACTTTGCTGAAGTTGCTTATCAGCTTAAGGAGATATGGGGCTGACATGATGGGGTTTTCTAAATATACAATCATGTCATCTGCAAACAGGGACAATTTGACTTCTTCTTTCCCTAATTGAACATCCTTTATTTCTTTCTGTTGCCTGATTGCCCTGGCCAGAACGTCCAACACTATGTTGAATAGGGGTGGTCAGAGCGGGCATCCTTGTATTGTGCTGGTTTTCAAAGGGAATGCTTCCAGTTTTTGCTCATTCAGTATGATATTGGCTGTGGGTTTGTCATAAATAGCTCTTATAATGTTGAGATACGTTCCATCAATACCTAGTTTATTGAGAGTTTTTAGCATGAAGGGCTGCTGAATTTTGTCAAAGGCCTTTTCTGCATCTATTGAGATAATCATGTGGTTTTGGTCATTGGTCCTGTTTATGTGATAGATTATGTTTATTGATTTGTGTATGTTGAACCCACCTTGCATCCCAAGGATGAAGCCAACTTGATCATGGTGGATAAGCTTTTTGATGTGCTGCTGGATTCAGTTTGCCAGTATTTTATTGAGGATTTTTGCATCAATATTCATCAGGGATATTGGCCTAAAATTCTCTTTTTTTGTTGTATCTCTGCCAGGCTTTGGTATCAGGATAATGTTGGCCTCATAAAATGAGTTAGAGAGGATTTTTTTCTATTGATTAGAATAGTTTCAGAAGGAATGGTACCAGCTCCTCTTTGTACCTCTGGTAGAATTTGGCTGTGAATCCATCTGGTCCTGGACTTTTTTTGGTTGTTAGGCTATTAATTATTGCCTCAATTTCAGAGACTGTTATTGGTCTATTGAGAGATTCAATTTCTTCCTGGTTTAGTCTTTGGAGGGTGAATGTGTCCAGGAATTTATCCATTTCTTCTAGATTTTGTAGTTTATTTGCATAGAGGTGTTTCTAGTATTCTCTGATGGTAGTTTGTATTTCTGTAGGATTGGTGGTGATATCCCTTTTATCAGTTTTTATTGCATCTCTTTGATTATTCTCTCTTTTTTCTTTATCAGTTTTGCTAGCAGTCTATCAATTGTGTTGATCTTTTCAAAAAACCAGCTCCTGGGTTCATTGATTTTTTTGAAGAGTTTTTCATGTCTCTGCCTCCTTCAGTTCTGCTCTGAGCTTAGTTTTTTCTTGCTTTCTGCTAGCTTTTGAAATTGTTTGCTCTCGCTTCTCTAGTTCTTTTAATTGTGATGTTAGGGTATCAATTTTAGATCCTTCCTGCTTTGTCTTGTGGGCGTTTAGTGCTATAAATTTCCCTCTACACACTGCTTTAAATGTGTCCCAGAGATTCTGGTACCTTGTGTCTTTGTTCTCATTGGTTTCAAAGAACATCTGTACTTCTGCCTTCACTTTCTTATTTAACCAGTAGTCATTCAGAAGCAGGTTGCTCAGTTTCCATGTAGTTGTGCGGTTTTCAGTGAGTTTCTTAATCCTGAGTTCTAATTTGATTGCACTGTGGCCTGAGAGACAGTTTCTTGTGATTTGTGTTCTTTTACATTTGCTGAGGAGTGCTTTACTTCCAATTATGTGGTCTATTTTAGAATAAGTTCAATGTGATGCTGAGAAGAATGTATATTCTGTTGATTTAGGGTGGAGAGTTCTGTAGATGTCTATTAGGTCTGCTTGGTGCAGAGCTGAGTTCAAGTCCTGGATATCCTTGTTAACCTTCTGCCTCGTTGATCTGTCTAGTATTGAAAGTGGGGTGTTATAGTCTCCCATTATTATTGTGTGGTAGTCTAAGTCTCTTTGTAGCTCTCTAAGGACTTACTTTATGAATCTGGGTGCTCTTTTATTGGGTGCATATATATTTAGGATAGTTAGCTCTTCTTGTTGAATTGATCCCTTTACCATTATGTAATGGCCTTCTTTGTCTCTTTTGATCTTTGTTGGTTTAAAGTCTGTTTTGTCAGAGACTAGGATTGCAGCCCCTGCTTTTTTTTGCTTTCCATTTGCTTGGTAGATCTTTCTCCATCCCTTTATTTTGAGCCTATGTGTGTCTCTTCACATGACATGGGTCTCCTGAATACAGCACACTGATGAGTCTCAACTCTTTATCCAATTTGCTAGCCTGTGTCTTTTAGTTGAGGCAATCAGCCCATTTACATTCAAGGTTAATACTATTATGTGTGAATTTGATCCTGTCATTGTGATGTTAGCTGGTTATTTTGCCCACTAATTGATGCAGTTTCTTCATAGCATCGATGATCTTTACAATTTGGCATGTTTTTGGAGTGGCTGGTACTGGTTTTTCCTTTCCATATTTAGTGCTTCCTTCAGGAGCTCTTGTAAGGCAGGCCTGGTGGTGACAAAATCTCTCAGCATTTGCTTGTCTGTAAAGGATTTTATTTCTTCTTCATGTATAAAGCTTAGTTTGGCTGGATATGAAATTCTGTGTTGAAAAATCTTTTCTTTAAGAATGTTGAACATATTGGCCCCCACTCTCTTCTAGTTTATAGGATTTCTGCAGAGAGATCCACTGTTAGTGTGATGGGTTTCCCTTTATGGGTAACCTGACCTTTCTCTCTGGCTGCCCTTAACATTTTTTCCTTCATTTCAACCTTGATGAGTCTGACAATTGTGTGTCTTGGTGTTGCTCTTCTCAAGGAGTATCTTTGTGTTGTTCTCTGTATTTCCTGAATTTGATTACTGGCCTGCATTGCCCCTTTGGGGAAGTTCTCCTCAATAACACCCTGAAGAGTGTTTTCCAACTTGGTTCCATTCTCCCCATCACTTTCAGGTACACCAACCAAACGTAGATTTGGTCTTTACACATAGTCCCATATTTCTTGGAGGCTTTGTTCATTTATTTTTACTCTTTTTTCTTTAAACTTGTCTTCTCACTTTATTTCATTCATTTGATCTTCAATCACTGATACCCTTTCTTCCAGTTGTTCGAATTGGCTATTGAAGCTTGTGCATGCATCATGAAGTTCTTGTGCCATGGTTTTAAGCACTATCAGGTCATTTAAGGTGTTCTCTACACTGTTTATTCTAGCCATTCATCTAACCTTTTTTCAAGGTTTTTAGCTTCCTTGCCATGAGTTAGAACATGCTCCTTTAGCTTGGAGAAGTTTGTTATTACCGACCTTCTGAACCCTACTTTTGTCAACTCATCAAAGTCATTCTCCGTCCATCTTTGTTCCGTTGCTGGCAAGGAGCTGCAATCCTTTGGAGGAGGAGAGGCACTATGGTTTTTAGAATTTTCAGCTTGTCTGCTCTGGTTGCTCCCCATCTTTGCAGTTTTAATCTACCTTTGGTCTTTGATGTTGGTGACCTGCAGATGGGGTTTTGGTGTAGATGTGTGTAGATGTCCTTTTGGTGATGTTGATGCTATTCCTTTCTGTTTGTTAGTTTTCCTTCTAACAGTCAGGTCCCTCAGCTGCAGGTCTGTTGGAGTTTGCTGAAGGTCCACTTCAGACACTGTTTGCATGGTTATCACCAGCAGAGGCTGTAGAACAGCAACTATTGCAAAATAGGAAATATTGCTGCTTGATCATTCCTCTGGAAGCTTCATCCCAGAGGGGCACCTACCTGTATGAGGTGTCTGTCGGCTCCTACTGGGAGGTGTCTCCCAGTTAGGCTACAGGGGGTCAAGGACCCACTTGAGGAGGCAGTCTGTCCATTCTCAGAGCTCAAATGCTGTGCTCGAGAACCACTGCTCTCTTCAGAGCTGTCAGACAGGGATGTTTAAGTCTGCAAAAGTTTCTGCTGTCTTTGGTTCAGGTATGCCCTGCTCACAGAGGTGGAGTCTATAAAGGCAGTAGGTCTTGCTGAGCTGTGGTGGGCTCTGCCCAGTTCGAGCTTCCCAGCTGCTTTGTTTACCTACTCAAGCCTCAGCAATGGCAGACGCCCCTCCCCCAGCCAGGCTGCAGCCTCGCAGGTCGATCTCAGACTGCTGCACTAGCAGTAAGCAAGGCTCCGTGGGCGTGGGACCCTCTGAGCCAGGCATGGGAGGGAATATCCTGGTCTGCTGGTTGCTAAGACCATGGGAAAAGCACAGTATTTGGGCAGGAGTGTACAGTCAAGCCAAAGTACAGTCTGTCACGGCTTCCCTTGGCTAGGAAAGGGAAATCCCTGGATCCATTGCGCTTCTCGGGTGAGGCGATATCCCACCCTGCTTCAGCTCACCCTCCGTGGGCTGCACCCACTGTCCAACCAGTCCCAGTGAGATGAACCAGGTAGCTCAGCTGGAAATGCAGAAATCGCCTATATTCTGTGTCTGGTGTGTAGCTGGGAGCTACAGACCAGAGATTTTCCTATTCGGCCATCTTGGAATGGAAAATGCTATATTTTATTTCAAGAGACACTGAAAACTTAAGAAACAAGAAAATGTTAAAGTGAAAGGATGGAAAATATATACGAGTTAAATTTTAACCAAAACAAAATTTGTATTATTTTGTATTATCTAATATAATAGGTAAAATTTGTATTACCTCATTATTAGATTTTTAAACAAAAACATTTCTAAAAATAAAAAGTTTCATATCTTATGAAAGGGTTTGATTCACAAAGAAAATATGGCAATTTTGAACTTACACAGTTATAACTCAGCTTCAAAATATATGAAGAAAAAAACTAATAGAAATACAATAAGACAACTGAGAACTTTTCAGTAAGTGATAGACTAGGCAGACAAAAATCAGTTAAGCTATAGAAAGTTTAAAATAACACAAGAAGTTTGATTTAATGGACATGCATAGAATATTGCATACAACAGTAGGGGATATGTTTGGAAAGTATATCTTTTATCAAGCACATCTGAAACAATTGTATCAGAAATTACAAGTGCTAGCCCATAAATCTGGTAACAACATTTTTCAAAGACTATCATATGAAAATGAGTTATTATTCATGAATTTATTATCATATAAATGATAATTTTAAAAATCAGTAATCAAATTATGATAAGATAACCGAACACTTTTGAGAACTGTAAATATAATTCTGAACAACTCATGGTCAAAGAAGCAAAAATAGAGATTAAAAATATTTATAACCTAAAAATAATGAAAATATTATGCATCATTATTAAATAATCAGGTAACATTGGCTTGAACACCTGTAAAAATAGCTTATTATAATCATTCTGGTAATTTTATTTTGTTTTAAATGACAAAACAATATTGAAAGAAAAGTCTTTTAATTTGTTTTATTTAACATGTCTAGCCACTTGTGACAAAATTACCAAAAAGTCTTTATGTGAAAACATACGAGCTAGGGGGAATAGAAAAGATGTATGCAAGAAAAGGTTATCAAGCATCACATATTCATAACAAGAGAATAGTCAATACTATAGCATAGATGTATGCTACCCAGCTGCAGACACTCAACTGTGCTACAATGATGTTCCTTCAATTTACTGTTCCAACGCTCCTGTCCAAAGCAGTCAATTGTAACAGCAAGCACACAGTGCAGAACTCAAGAGTAAATGGGCAAGAATATGGCATAAAACTCACATTATGATGCAATATGAATAAAATTTAGATTACTAGAAAATCCTATGTGTATGTGCACAAAAATTCCTAATATTTTCTTAGAAAATTTACACACTTAACTATCAATTCCAAAGCATCTACCCTACAACCCTAAGTACCACCCTAATACTGTTTCCCTAAGATCCTTTGGGTGTTCTCTCTTCTAGGTTATGGTATACTTGCCTTGAAGCATGTATGTGTATATGTTTTCCTTGCATTATACAATGAGTTTTTTGCTGGCAAACATCACCTCTGAATTCAGCACAATGCCTAGCACATGGTTAGTACTTGAAAACTTTTGTTTTCAATTTTGTTTTAGAACTTCAATAATCGGACTTCTGGTTTTAAAATAGCCGTGTAGAAACAGAATGGTTTCAACCCCTGCACTCCCCAGAAACAAAAACAAATATACAGTGCAGATATTTGCACCAGCAACAACTGAGAACTCAAATATGAGGATGAGACAGATACCAAGGCCACAGTGAAGCGAAAAAACTGAGCAAACTGTAGAATAATTGAACTTCCACATCTATGACACTCCTCCTCCCTTTCTGCCTGGCAACAAGCAAGCAGAAAAATCTCCCAACTTACAGTTTCCATACTGCAAAAAGTGAGATGAAGGTGGTCAAGCAGCTTTCCCCACATCTTGGGTTCCCTGTTAGAAAGACCTGTCCTTATCCTAACCAGTGGAAAGTATCCTGACTTCCTGAAGAGAGAAATACCCGTGAGGGCAGGCAGAAACAAAGACTATAGGTGGGACTACCTCCCTACATCCCCAGCCCTGGATACTGTTCTGTAACTTGGCCAAAAGAGATAGCAAATTTTTGACAGAGTGAGACCCTCTCTCAAAAAAAAAGCAAAGAAGCATATGATTATTTCAATAGATGCCAAAAAAAGCACTTAATAAAATTCAACTTTCCTTTATGATAACAACGCTCATCAAACTGCATATGGAAGTAACATATCTCAAAATAATAAAGGCCGTATATGACAACCTCACACTGTGAGGTTACGCTCCACAGGGAAAAGTTGACAGCCTTTCTTTTAAGATCTGGAACAATATCAGGATGCCGAGTTTCACTACTTTTATACAACGTAATACTAGAAGTTCTGGACAGAGCAATTAAGCAAGAAAAAGAGAAAAAGGGCATCCAAATTTGACACAAGTAAGTCAAATTGGCCTTCTTTGCCGACAACATGATCTTAACCTAGATAAACTTAGACACTGACATAAAAAAAAAAACTGTTAGAACTGATAAAT